>NC_000017.11:9733535-9885050 GCF_000001405.40 Homo sapiens
TCTCAAATGCCAGGAGCTGTATTTACTAATTCCAGCAAGGAGACCACATCTGGTCCCACTACTTGATTAAGTCTTTGATAGATACAGTTATTCTCTAAGTCCCATTAACCTTTTGTACCAAATGGGTGAGCTGGGTAGAGATGTGATAGGAATCAGGACACAGCAGGTTTTAAGTCTTTGTGACCTGATTGCTGATTTTTCTAAGGGTGCACTTTTGCTTTTGATTCACTTCAGTGATTGGGGAAGATTTCTTCAGTGACATGGGCTTGATCCTAGCATAATTTATTCTATAAACATTTGAGAGTTCACTATTAGGCTCTGGGAATATAGTAGTAAATTAGAGAAATGGTCTTTGCCTTTAAAGCAATTTCTATCTCTCTTTTTTTTTTTTTTTTGAGACAGAGTCTCACTCTGTCACTCAGGCTGGAATGCAGTGGCACAATCTCGGCTCACTGCAAGCTCCGCCTCCCGGGTTCACGCCATTCTCCTGCCTCAGCCTCCCGAGTAGCTGGGACTACAGGTGCCCGCCACCACGCCCAGCTAATTTTTTTTTTTGTATTTTCAGTAGAGACGGGGTTTCACCGTGTTGGCCAGTAAGGTCTCGATCTCCTGACCTCATGATCCTCTTGCCTCGGCCTCCCAAAGTGCTGGGATTACAGGCGTGAGCCACCGCGCCTGGCCTAAATCAATTTCTATTCTAGTTGGAAGAGACAAAGAAACAGTAAACATAACCAAGGTAATTTTAGGTACTATAAGTATTATGAAATTTAATGGGATCACATGCAACTTGGCCGCATTGGGGAATGGCCACATTGGGGAAACCAATGTGGGCATTCGGTTACTTGCTGAGATCAGTCAACTAAACACTCAGAATATTGAAATATCCTAAGAAAGAGCCTCGTTTCCACTGGGCCTGCCAAGATGCAAACTTAGGTTAGGAATCCATTTATCACCTGGCCACCATAAGCACCTGTTGAGACTGACAAAACTCAGTGGTGTTCTGCCTTCCTGGGGCTTAGTGTCAGTACGAGCAAATGGCTGTCATTTCTTTTGGGAATGGCTGGGAGAAAGCTTTATGGGGCAGATGTGGAGTCACAGAGAATTCTTCCTCGATAGTACCCAGCCATCCTGTCATTTAAGGGAGTCTGGATTCATGAACTGAATCAGGTCAGGGAATTAGATGAAAAGTTAAGACTCTTCAACGCAGGTTAGATATCTAGTTTTCTATGCGTGAGCATTTTTGCTTTGAAATAATTAAGAACTGAGTAGCAGCTGGGTGTGGTGACTCATGCCTGTAATCCCAGAACTTTGGGAGGCCGAGGTAGGGGGATCACCTGAGGTCAGGAGTTCAAGACCAGCCTGCTCAACATGGAGAAACACCGTCTCCACTAAAAATACAAAAATTAGCTGGGCGTGGTGGCACATCCCTGTAATCCCAGCCACTTGGGAGGCTAAGGCAGGAGAATCGCTTGAACTTGGGAGGCAGAGGTTGTGGTGAGCTGAGATGGCTCCATTGCATTCCAGCCTGGGCAACAAGAGCAAAACTCTGTATCAAAAAAAAAAAAAAAAAAAAGAACTGAGTAGCCTGGCTGTGAATTTAACTTCTGGAGCACCAAGTCACGGCCAGCATTCTCTGCATGTCATACCATCCCTGGAGATCTAATTCCATGACTGTCCACCTTACCTCTAATGGTTAATTGCCATGATCTGGGCTTGGCCACTTTGGGCTTCTCCTGTTGCTCCCAAGATCAAGACCCTATTTGAACAGCATCCCTATCCAGCAGAATTCCTATTTAACTTGAGTACAGACATGAAGTGCTATATATTTATTTATTTATTTATTTAGAGACAGGGTCTTGCTCCGTTGTCACCCAGGCTAGAGAGTGCAGTGGTGCAACCATAGCTCACTGCAACATCAACCTCCTGGGCTCAAGCAATCTGCCCACCTCAACCTCCCAAGTAGCTGGGACTACAGGCACACACCACCGTGCCCAGTTAATTTTTTGGTATATTTGTAGAGACTGGGTCTCCCCATGTTGCCTAGGCTGGTCTTGAACTCATGGGCTCAAGCAATCCACCCGCCTTGGCCTCCCAAAGTGCTGGGATGACAGATGTGAGCCACTGTGCCCAGCCCATGAAGTACTTTTTAAGGACCTCTTTGCTTACTTCATTTTATCTGTCACTCCTGGCAAGGATGAAGCACTGGGGGATGTGAGAAGTGGTGTGGGGGCAGAACACAAGGGAAAGCCACACCACCCTCCCTGCCTGCTGAAGCTTTTGAATTCCTGCCTTTTAATTGGTGTCTTTTGATTTCATTTCTTTATGGCCACAATTAGGTCTGAATTGTGTTAGCCAGACCAGCAAGCCCTTAGAATCATAGTAGGCTGATTTTCAAACTAGATCTGTAGGTGAATGTATTCATATTAATACATTGAGTCATATCCCAAATTACATTTTGTCTGTCTTGGCTGACTACTCAAAAAATTCATCCCCTGAAAAAATTTCCCCATTTTAAGAAATTTCTGTTTTCTTTTCTTTTTTTTTGAGACAGAGTCCTGCTCTGTCGCCCAGCCTGGAGTGCAGTGGCATGATCTTGGCTCACTGCAGCCTCCGCCTCCCGGGTTCAAGCAATTCTTGTGCCTTAGCCTCCCAAGTATCTGGGACTACAGGTATGCACCACCACGCCAGGCTAGTTTTTGTATTTTTAGTACTGATGGGGTTTCACCACGTTGGGCAGGCTGTTCTCAAGCTCCTGACCTCAGGTGATCCACCCGCCTCAGCCTCCCAAAGTGCCGGGATTACAGGCATGAGCCACCGTGCCCAGCCCCCATTTAAAAAAATTTCTAATGCTTCTCCTAGATAGCCCTCACTGCACCTCCCCTCCCATTCCAGCCTCATTTCATTCTAAAAGCTGTGCTGAATTCTGACTTTGGTTACTAAGGAAGAAACAATGAAAGATGGGGCATGAGGGAAATGATTAGCCTTTTCCCAAAAAGGGAGCTATAATTTAATCAGACAGGAAGTGAAATTGGGATAATTTTAGAAAAGACCAGAGACTTAACAGAGTACTAGCCTTTTGAATCCTCCCAGATATCCCAATTTCAATGGTCATATCCCACTCTTTACCAAGCAATTCCTTACCTTTCATATAAGAGACCTGGAAAAATTGCCAGTTCAACCAGCAGCCAGCAGCCTATGGAATCTACAAATTTATTTCTCACTGAAACTGAGTCTTGAGATTTATTTGCATACTCTAAATACAAGTCCTTTTCATAAGTATCTTTGAAATAAGTATCTTTGAAGTATATTTTTCCAGCCTGTGACTTGTTTCGTAAGAATCTTTGAAACATATTTTCCCAGCCGGTGACTTGCTTTCTGATTATTTTAATATAGTCTTCTGAGGAGCAAAGTTTTTGAGTTTGAAGCAGTCCAATTTATCAATTTTTTTTGGTAGTTTGTATCTTTCAAGGAATTTGCAAATTTCATCTAAGTTGTTCAATTTATTGGAACAAAAAGTCCCAGTATTATTCTGTGGGAATCTGTCTAATCTGTAGTAACGTTACCTTTCTCATCCTGGACATTGGTAACTTGTGTCTTCCCTCTTTTTTGCCTGATCACTCTGGCTAGAAGTTTATCAATTGAAAAAAATCTTCTCAAGAACCAGCGTTTGGGTTCCTTGATATTGTGTGTGTGTGGGGGGTGGGGGGGTGGGTTTCTCATTTCTATCTCATTTCTGAGATTGCTGTTTTTATGTCTATTATATCCTTTCTCCTAATTAATTTGGATTTAATTTGCTTTTTCTATTTTTTTTAGTGAACACTGATGTAACTGATCTGAGATCTCTTTTCTCTTTTCATTTTTTTTCTTTTTTTGTAGACAGAGTTTTGCTCGTTGCCCAGGCTGGAGTGCAGTGGCGCGATCTCAGCTCACTGCAACTTCTACCTCCCGGGTTCAAGTGATTCTCCAGCCTTAGCCTCCTAAGTAGCTGGAATTACAGGCACTCGCCACCACGCCCGGCTGATTTGTTTTTGTTGTTGTTGTTGTTGTATTTTTTAATAGAGACAGGGTTTCACCATGTTGGCCAGGCTGGTCTTGGAACTCCTGACCTCAGGTGATCCACCCACTTCGGCCTCCCAAAGTGCTGGGATTACAGGCGTGAGCCACTGCACCCAGCCCTTTTCTTCTCTAACATAGACATTTAGTGTTATAAATTTCCCCAATTCTCCAAATTCCATGTTGTGTTTTCATTTCCATTCAGTTCAAAGTACCCTCTGATTTCCCTTTTGATTTCTCTTTTGACCCATGGGCTATTCAGAAGTATGTTTTCAGTCCTGAGGGCCAGAAATGGTGACTCCATATTCTTCTCTGGTGGTGGAAATGTGAGATTCGAATGTTGCGTATGACGATGTGCCCACCCTGTGGAAATGCTGGTCTTCATCGGAAGACAGTGAGATGGAGCTGCAGAGAGAAGAGGTGGGAGACACACTGGAAGTATTATTCTCTTAGTCCATTTAGTTCCCACCTGGGCTAATATTTCTTCATCTTCGCCCATCTTATCTTTTTCTTCTTCTCTTCTGATGTTCTCTTTCCTTTGCTCATTTATCTAGGTCCCTCCATTTAGTCCATTTTCTGGATGAAGAACCCAAGTTAGTGACAGAATACTGAAAAAAATGTAAGATCAAATTTTAAGAACATGTCGCCCCCACCCTTCTTTTTTTTTGAGACGGAGTCTCAATCTGTAGCCCAGGCTGGAGTGCAGCGGCGCAATCTCGGCTCACTGCAGACTCTGCCTCCCGGGTTCAAGTGATTCTCCTGCCTCAGCTGCCCAAATAACTGGGACTACAGGCGCCCGCCACTACCCCCAGCTAATTTTTGAATATTTAGTATAGACGGGGTTTCACTGCATTGGCCAGGCTGCTCTCGAACTCCTGACCTCAGGCGATCCGCCAGCCTCGGCCTCCCAATGTGCTGGGATTACAGCCATGAGTCACCACGGCTGGCTGAACAGTCCCCTTTTCAATAAGGTATTTTGGGGTTTGTCTTCAGTAGTGGCGCTTTTCTTTCCTTACCTGGCATGGTGTCTACGAGGGGAGTTGTGGCAGCCCTCAAGGGTCTTTTAGTAAAAGTCCTAAGTTCCCATCTAGGGTTAGCTATTAGTTACATGGCCTTATGGCAAGCAAATGGATGCTTGTGGGCCTTGGTGTGTTCATCAGTAAAATGGGAACTCTGCAGTGATGAGCTGTAGTGGGCTCCTACCAGTTCCTGAGAGCCAGTTGTTAAAGATTCGGGAGCTTCACGAGTCTTGAAATCAGCCATGGCGGAATTATTTACGACAATAAAATCAGCAAACGTTACAAATTAGGACTTTTTTTTTCTTGGAGAGCACAAGACCAGCACACCACTAGAATTAGGATACTGTCATTTGACACCTCACCGGGTTTTTTAGGAAAACATCTCTGAAAGATGAAGAGTTTGCATTTGCAAAGGGATGATGAACATGTGTTTTGGAATCAGCCAAACGTGGACTCATACCCTGCCCTGCTACCCTCTAGTTTGTGACCTTGACAAGTTCCTTCTTCTGACTGAGCCAGAGTTTCCTCTACGTTGAAGTGACAGTAATACCCATCTAGCAGTGGTGATGTAAGAAATTAGTCAACAGTGTGAACTGTTAACACTGAATAAATAACTGGCTGCACTTTGCAAAGAATAAAACATCATTTATTTGGAAAAGATTATTAAGGGATGATCTGGGCCAGGTGTGGTGGCTCACGCCAGTAATCCCAGCACTTTGGGAGGCCAAGGCAGGCAGATCACTTGAGGTCAGGAGTTCGAGACCAGCCTGGACAACATGGTGAAACCCCATCTCTACTAAAAATACAAATATTAGCTGGGCGTGGTGGCACACTCCTGTAATCCCAGCTATTCGGGAGGCTGAGGCAGGAGAATCACTTGAACCCGGGAGGTGGAGGTTGCGGTGAGCCGAGATTGCGCCACTGCACTCCAGCCTGGGCAACAGAGTGAGACTCGGTCTCAAAAAAAAAAAAAGTTTCTGTGGAACTGTTGCTTTCTTTAGTTCCAGCCTCCATGGGTGGGGATTGACAGGTGGCAGGCCTCGCTGGTTATCCAGTCATTTCCTTTTTCTGCAAGGCCTCAGAAAGTACATTAGTATCACTACCACTAATGTCACCACCACCACTAGTATCACCAACAAACATTTACTACTACATGCCAGGACCTGCTCCAAGGGCTCTACATAAATGAACTCATTTATGCTTCAAACATTCCTATTACCTAAATAATACTGGTAGCTCCATTTTTCAGGGGTAGAGGTAGAGACACAGAGAGTTTATATTCTGCATTTGGATCATATTTGACTATTTTTGATCTACCAAAATGGCAGTTTCATGGGGTTCAACCTAATAACGTGATCAGGGTCATCCAGTTGGTTGTAGGAGGGCCAGAATCTGCTTTCTATGAAGGCAACACTTTAAGCAAATGACCATAGGGGTTTTTTGTTGTTGTTGTTGTTGTTTGTTTTTGTTTTGTTTTTTTTTGAGATGGAATCTCGCTGTTGTCTCCCAGGCTGCAGTGCAATGGTGCGATCTTGGTTCACTGCAGTCTCTGCCTCTCAGGTTCAAGCGATTCTTCTGCCTCAGCCTCCTGAGTAGCTGGAATTACAAGTGCCTGCCACCACGCCTGGCTAATTTTTGTACTTTTAGCAGACATGGGGTTTCACCACGTTGGCCAGGCTGGTCTCAAACTCCTGACCTCAGGTGATCCACCTACCTCGGCCTCCCGAGGTGCTGGGATTATAGGCGTGAGCCACCATGCCTGGCCGACCATAGGATTCGAACAGATATCATGAAAGATGAAGAGGGCAGGAAAAAAGTAAAGAGCAATGAGTCTCATAATTTATATCATTACATCTTAATGATATAAATCGAGATAAAATACAGTTGGATCACGGAATACTATGCAGCCAGAAAAAAGAATGAAATTATATCCTTTGCAGCAACATGGATGAACCTGGAGGCCATTATCCTAAGTGAACTAACTCAGAAGCAGAAAATGAAATATCTCATGTTCTCATTTATAAGTGAGAACTAAATGATGGATACACATGAATGTAAAGATGAAAATAACAGACACTGGGACTTCAAAAGAGGGGAGGGCATGAGGAGATTAAGGGTTGAAAAATTACCAATTGGGTGCTGGAAGGGCCAATTCAATGAATACCTCACTCACCATGCTGTCATAGATATTTCTACCTTCTTTTGTAATTGTTTTTCTTTTTTTTTTCCAATATTTGGGTGATGGATACACTAGAAGCTCAGTCCCCACTGTTACACAATATACCCATGTAACAAACACACATTTGTACCCCTGAATCTAATATTTTTAAAAGGAGATAAAACACAGTTGAAAACTTAAAATATTGGCCAGTTGCGGTGGCTCATGCCTGTAATCCCAGCACTTTCGGAGGCTAAGGCGGGTGGATCGCTTGAGGTCAGGAGTTTTGAGACTAGCCTGGCGAAATGGTGAAACCTCTTCTCTACTAAAAATATAAAAAAATTAGCCAGGCATGGTGGTGCATGCCTTTAATCCTAGCTACTCACGAGGCTGAGGTGGGAGGATCGCTTGAACCTGGGATGTGGAGGTTGCAGTGAGCTGAGATCACGACACTGCACTTCAGCCTGGGTAACAGAGTGAGACTTTGCATATGTATATACACATACATATATATGAACAAAGAACAAAGTTTAAAATATTGTGTTAAATGAATATGATTGAAACAGAAGTGATACAAAAATAGAGAATAATGTAATAATAAATTGAATGTAAATTTTTAAACTGTTTCAGCAAAATCAAGCCACAAAAGGGGGCTATCTAGACAAGACAGGCAAAGTACAAATCTGGCAGTAGAGACAAGTTCCCAAGCCCCTTGCTCTCCTTATTTCCACTGATGTGGTTATCTTTGAGTTTGGCAATTTTAGTGTGTGGTTCTTTGCTTTCAATTATCTTTCAGAGAGCAGTCTGTGTGTTCAATCTGGCTTCTAGATGGGGGAAAGCCTGTGAAGTTATTTCCGGGCTGGAAGGGCCAATTCAATGAATACCTCACCCACCATGCTGTCACAGACATTTCTATCTTCTTTTGTAATTATTACTATTTTTTTTTTGAGATGGAGTCTCACTCTGTTGCCCAGGCTAGAGTGCAGTGGTGCAATCTCAGCTCATGGCAAGCTCCACCTCCCAGGTTCATGCCATTCTCCTGCCTCAGCCTCCTGAGTAGATGGGACTACAGGTGCCCGCCACCATGCCTGGCTAATGTTTTGTATTTTTAGTAGAGATGGGGTTTCACCGTGTTAGCCAGGATGGTCTCGAACTCCTGACCTCCTTGAACTCCTTGGCTTCCCAAAGTGCTGGGATTACAGGTGTGAGCCACCGTGCCTGGCCTAATTGGTTTTTAGTTACGTACCACCATACTAAAGTTATTGTTTTGCTACTTGCTTTCTTTTCCAACTTAAAATTTTGGAGCTTTTCCCAGATCTCTATAGATTGGCCCTATAGATTCTTTTCAAATGTTGCTTATAACTTCTTAATGCAAATGAACCATAGTTTGTCCCCCAATTCAGGAGCATGTAGATTTTTTTTTTTTCGGACACAGGGTTGAACTCTGTTGCCCAGGCTGGAGTGTGGTGGCATGATCTCGGCTCATCGCAACCTTGACGTCCCAGGCTCAAGCAATCCTCCCACTTCAGCCTCCTGAGTAGCTGAGACTATAGGCATGCACCACCATACCTGGCTAATTTAAAAAAAAATTTTTTTGTAGGGATGGGGGGGTCTCACTTTGTTGCCCAGGCTGGTCTTGAACCCCAGGTCTCAAGGGATCCTCTCACTTTGGCCTTCCAAAATGCTGGGATTACAGGCGTGAGTCACCGTGCCTGGCCATAGATTGTTTCTAAGCTTTTGCCATTGAAAACAAAAATGTCCTAAAAAGAAACAGTGTCCTGAACATCATTCTTTATATATCTTCTAGGAGAAAAACTTTGTCTTGTTACATTAAATTATGTTCTGGTGTGAAGGAATTTACATATTTAAAGATATCTTTTATTGGAGAAAGAGAGTGGCTAGTGGGCGAATGTAGAGGGAGCGTCCTCAGGATGTGGCCTGCCCTTTTGCAGATGCCGACTACTGGAGTGTGTTATTAGCCTTGTAATTTTCTCCGATGTTTGCCATGAATGAAGCACTTGAGCTGAGTATCAATGATAACGTTTTCAGAATGGCATGTGTCTCCTTGGGTTTGACATTCCCATTCTCTCATGTGCTGTCCCTTAGACAACATATTCTCCACGACAACCTTTTTTTTTTTTTGAGATGGAGTCTCACTCTGTTGCCCAGGCTGGAGTGGAATGGCGCAATCTCGGCTCACTGCAAACTCCACCTCCCAGGTTCAAGTGATTCTCCTGCCTCAGCCTCCAGAGTAGCTGAGATTACAGGCACGTGCCACCACGCCCGGCTAGTTTTTGTATTTTTAGTAGAGATGGGGTTTCACCATATTGGCCAGGCTGGTCTCAAACTCCTGACCTTGTGATCCGCCCACCTTGGCCTCCCAAAGTGCTAGGATTACAGGCGTGAGCCACCACGCCCGGCTGACAATCTCTTGTAGGTGACCTGGTATCTTCATTTTCCTTTCAGGGACTGAGGACGCTGGGCAAGACACCGTCAACACAAGGCTCTTCACCAGCCTGGGGGAAAACCAGACATCCGCATCCACACCTGAAACAGGGCAAGCCGCCTCCTGACGAAAGCCCTGTGAAACACAAGAAGCATTCCTTCAGGATTCTTCTAAAGATAAAAGAATCTCGGAGTAGGGCTTCTATTAGGTAAATGGCTTATGATAACCTCATGTGAGAGGTTAAACAAAGGTTACAGGGCTTAGAACAGCACTGAGGGGACTGGGCGGCTACTCGAGAGAGATCAACCAAGGACTGGGAGGTGAGTTTTTGTCCCAGACACGTGCTCATTGCAGTGACTTTGAGCAAGTCACCTCATCCCCCTGTGTCTTATTTTCATTACATGGCATATGTAGAAAGAGGATCTTCTAGCTCGGACAATTGTTTGATTGTACTGGGA
This sequence comes from Homo sapiens, assembly GCF_000001405.40. Taxonomy (NCBI): domain Eukaryota; kingdom Metazoa; phylum Chordata; class Mammalia; order Primates; family Hominidae; genus Homo; species Homo sapiens. Next base: position 9,743,670 of record NC_000017.11, read on the forward strand.
AGTGGTTAAGGCTCTGGAGTCACACTTTCTGGATTTGATGACCAGATCCACTGTTTACTAAATGCAGGATTTGGAAAATTGCTCATCTATAAAATGAGCTTGATGAGGCAACCTACCTCGCTGAACTGTGATGAGGATTACACTCATTGGGAATATTCACAATAGTGCCAAACATATAAAAGTGTTCAATAAATGTTCATTTTTATTATGTCTATAACCTTCTAATCAAAGAGAGCATTGTAAATCTTAAGGGAAGACTCAGGAAGAATGTAGAACAAAAGTGAGTGTTTCGGTTGGGACATAAGGCACCTGCAGAGGAAATTCTTCTATGATGAGGAGAACTTGGGAAGGACTTAATTTTATCTTAAAACCCAGAGAGCTCTTCAATTCAGCTATGATGTGTTTTCCTTGCCAGGACCCTGGATCTCAAAGAGGAAGGGAAGAAGAACACTCTTTGACTTTCTCCTCTTTGTGTGGATGTTGGATTTTCTGCTGGGAACCAGACTGGCACAGAGGAAGGTGAGACTGTTTTCTTTCCACTCCTTTACTCAGTCCCTGATGTTGGTGCTATAAGTAGCAGTCAGAGTCCAATTAGGAGACAGAAACCACACAGTAATTTGAACAAGCTTAATATAAATATACCTTATTAATTACAACATGTTACAGCATAACAACACTATAACAGATTATTGAGGAATTGGCTCATAATAAGTAAAGAGAATTCTAAACAATGTGGGAGGGTCGGACGCAGTGGCACACACTTGTAATCCCAGCACTTTGGGAGGCTGAGGTGGGTGGATCATTTGAGGTCAGGCGTTCAAGATCAGCCTGGCCAACATGGTAAAACCCCGTAGTAGAGGCACGCACTTGTAATCCCAGCTACTCAGGAGGCTGAGGCAGGAGAATCGCTTGAACCCTGGAGGTGGAGGTTGCAGTGAGCCGAGATCTCACCATTGCACTCCAGCCTGGGCGAAAAGAGTGAAACTCCATCTCTTAAAAAAAAAAAAGAATGTGGGAATAGCAGATATACCTCTAGGGGCTCAGATAGAGTATTCAGGAATGAGACCCTACATCCCCACGACTGGGGTGCCAATCTATGGCCACTGGTTGGAGACAAGTTGAGTGGTACTGCACCCTGGAAGGCGGGAAATCTGCCTTCCAGGATGTTGTAGGGGAAGCTATTCAAAGGAGGTTTCTCCCAGGAGGCACTCCAATACAGTACTCCAAGGGGGTTGCTGGGGAAGCTGCTGGCTGCCATGCACCGCACAAGCTGGATATTGGAAAAGCCACCTGCATTAAGGGAGCCTGCTGTTGGACATGCTGCCTCTGCTGCAGGAGCTGGGCACTGGGGAAGCCCTGCCTGTGCGGCAGGGGCTTGCTGAGAGAAGCACTCCAGCACCCAGGCTGAAATCCCTCTCTGGCGCCCTCTACTGACAAAACTTGACATCATACTATCTGGAAATGGAAAAATATCTAAAGGGCTCAGATCAATTTTCTTTTCTTTCTTTTTTTTTTTTTTTTTTTTTTTTTTTTTTTTTTTTTGACAGAGTCTCACACTATTGCCTGGGCTGGAGTGCAATGGCATAATCTTGGCTCACTGCAACCACCACCTCCCGAGTTCAAGCGATTCTCCTGCCTCAGCCTCCTAAGTAGCTGTGATTACAGGCACCCGCCACCACGCCTGGTTTATTTTTTGTATTTTTTTTTTGTAGAGATGGGGTTTCACTATGTTGGCCAGGCTGGTCTTGAACTCCTGACCCTGTGATCCGCCCACCTCGGCCTCCCAAAGTGCTGGGATTACAGGCGTGAGCCACCACGCCCGGCCAGGGCCCAGATCAATTTTCATAGAGCCGACAGTGAAGCATAAATTAGAAGGCAATACATTGATACCTGGCACAAGTAAATTTTTCTCATTCTTACTTTGTAGATGAATGGGCATCTCTTACGGGGTCTCATCTTTCTGTAGGTAGCTCAACTTCTGTGCCCCGTCCTCCAGTCTTCCAGAGATAATACTCCTTTAGCTCTGCAGGGACCAAACGCCCAACCAGTGATCAGTTCCAATAGTCCTTTGTGCTGTTTGGCATCTGTTCACTGGTCTGACTGAAATTCTCCTTTTTTACTGACACCTGAAGAGATCCCTTTCTTAATTTTGAGCTTTCCTATATCTTAAAAATTTTGTTGTTTTATTTTATTTCTGGAATCAGAGGAAGAAGTCCTTTAATTGAATTCAGCCTGCCATATTGGCTGAAAGTTGACTCAGAAGTAGTGGGCAACAAAGAAAATGAACATAGACACAGAGATGGGGGAAAGAATATCTTACATGTTGGTATGCAAAGTAATGATGTTGTTTTGTAAACACAAAAACAGACGGGACCACCTCTTAGTATTTTCCTCATAGACCAGATAAATTTTGAGTCTGAAATGGCCTCTTGGTTTCCTAAACAAGTGAATATCCTTGCAAAAGAAGAGAAAACGCCCTATATTCTATATGAAATGTTTACTGCTTTTTATTAACTATTAACCAATGTATGACCATAGTAAAAAATTTCAAATATATGGAAGAGTTGAAAGAAGAAATAATGCCATGTGCACAATATAGTCAGAATCCCAATAACCTTCCCAGAAGTCACTATTACCAGTTTGGAGTGTTTCCTTCCAAATTTCCATATTTTCTTTGTGCATTCCTCTTGAATAAAGAAAAATGTAATTTTCATTTGTATGTATGTTTATACATAACTGAGAACATGATGCATTTTTTTTTTTTACAATTTGCTTTTATAACTTGGAGATGTTTTCATATAGTCTTTTATGGATATACCTCTTCCTTTTCCCTCTGATATTTCTACAGGAAGCACATCTTTCTTCCTTTTAGTCATATGTCTGCATGTCACTGATCCCACTCCTGAATCCAGCAGTGAACCCATCACTCAGACCCAGCATTTCAGTATATTGCTCTTGGCCACAGCGTTGAAAAAAAAAGCGGGGGGAGGTGGGAGGTCATCGGAATTGTCTCAGGTTCATCAGTGCCAATCTTGGACTTTAAAATTTTAAGAAAAACTGATGCTTCGTATTCTGTAGTACTACAGGTAGCAAGGATTACTTAACCCCATTGATGGGCATTTCATTTTATCCCATTTTTTGGTTTTGTTTTAAACACGGGAGCAACGGAAATGGTTCTGCTCTTCTTTAATTCAAGTTTTCATGAATGAGCAAATTATTTATGTCCTTCTGTATTTCTTTTCTTCACCTAGTTCTTGCACATGACTTTTATTATTTATTCCCACATATTTGATAGTTTTCATTGCCATTGGAAATGGAATCTTTTTCTCTATTACATTTTCAAATGGCTTTTTTTGTATGTGCATGACAGAGTCTCACTCTGTCTCCCGGGCTGGAATGCGGTGGCGCGATCTTGGCTCACTGCAACCTCCATCTCCTGGGCTCAAGCGATTTTCCTACCTCAGTCTCCCATGTAGCTGGGACTACAGTCATGAGCCACCACACCTGGCTAATTTTTGTATTTTTCATAGAGATGGGGTTTCCTCATGTTGCCCAGGCTGGTCTCAAACTCCAGAGCTCAAGTGATCCACCTGCCTTGGCCTCCCAAAGTGCTGGGATTACAGGTGTGAGTCACCATGCCCGGCTGTTTTTTTTTTGTTGTTGTCGTTGTTGTTTTAATTGGATCTTGTGTCTGGTCAACTTGACTTTGTTATTCATTTTTTAGAAATAATTGATTCTCTTATTAATACTAACTTTGTCTCTTCCTTTTAAGTGTCTGTACTTCTAATTTTCTTGTTTCTCTACACTAGTTATGACCAAGAGTATTGACTCATTTGTGGTGATGAAAGCTAACATCCATGTCTAGTTTGTGACTTTAGTGTTTTACCTTTTAGGAATGATATGTGTTGTAAATATCCTTCCTTTATGTTCCTTTAAGAAGTTGAGACCTTTGGCTAATATTTTCTTAAATTAGGAATAAATGTTAATTTTTCCATTTTTTATAGTGAAATGATCATGTTACTTTTTATGTTTAAAGTATGTTTAAATGTGTATTCTGTGGGCACAAGTTTTATAAATAACTATTAGATCAAATTTATTGATTAATCAAAAACTCATAACACTTTACTATTTTTTACTTGATCTATTGATTTTTGAGAAGACTATTATTCTATATTATTATGATTTCTCCACTGTATTTCGTTATGTTTTTGCTTTATATGTTTAAAAACATTATCAGATGCCTGATTTGTCTATTTTGTTTGTATTTTGTCACTATAAAATATCTTCATTTTACTTAAATTTTTATTTTGCTCATTATTTTGTTACATCTGTGTTCTTTTTGTTAGCATTTGACAAGCGTATCTTTCAATATTCCATTTTTTAAGGTGTGTCTTTTGTAGATACCATACAGATGAATTTTTTCTTAAACGTAAATCAGATGATCTCCATCTTTTAATGGTAAATTTAACGCCATCTCATTTATTGTGATTACTGATAGTTTGGACTTATTTTTGCTTCCTTTCTGCCTCTTATTATTGATCAGATCAAATTTCCTTTGTTTCTTCTTCAATAATAGTTTAAAAATTTATGTCTTATTTATATCCTAGTGTTTACTTTAACATTTTATTTTACATATTATATTTTTCTATCAGAGGTTAGATTTAACTGGTGCAGGACACAAATCTTAACAAACTACTTCCTTTTGTAAAAAAATTATTTTGGCTACTCCTGGATCTTTCTAATTCTAAATACATTTTAGAATTAGTTAGTTAATTTATACACACATACACATACACTTGCTAGGATACTGATTGGGATTTTATTTGATCTATAGATTGGTTTGGGGAGAGTTGCCATCATTATAATATTCAGTCTTCTAATCCACAAACATAGCCTTCCAGCTATTTAGGTCTTTAAAAATTTCTCTCAATAACATTTGTAGTTTACTGTATAGAGCCCTTTTATTTTATTGTGTTTATTCTTAGTTATTTGCTATTTGATGGAACATCTAGAATTGCTCATTCTTCAGGATTTATGTTTTCCGATATTGCCTCTGCCCCATTGCGTCTATCTATTCTCTTTTTTGGAACGCCAATTAGAAATATTTTGGAGGCTAGGTGTGGTGGCTCACGTCTGTAATCCCAGCAATTTGGGAGGCTGAGGTAGGCAGATAACCCAAGGTCAGGAGTTTGATACCAGCCTGGCCAACATGGTGAAACCCCATCTTTACTAAAAATACAAAAATCAGCCGGGCATGATGGCGCATGCCTGTAATCCCAGCTACTCGGGAGGCTGTGGCAGGAGAACTGCTTGAACCTGGGAGGCAGAGGTTGCAGTGAGCTGAGATCATGCCACTGCACTTCAGTCTGGGCGACAGACCTAGACTCCATCTAAAAAAAAAAAAAGAAAGAAAGAAATATGTTGAAACTTACACAATGCCTCTTAAATTCTCTTTTATATTTTCCATCTCCTTGCCTTTCTGGGCTATTTTCTGGATAATTTCTTATGACCTGTCTAATAGTCTGCTAATTAGCTATGTAATATTTTCTGCTTAAGCCTATTGTGGGTTTTCTTTGTTGTTTTATTTTATTACTAGAAGTTTTTGTTTTTTAGTTATAATAGTCACTTATAGTTTATTATCCACTAAAGACATTGTTAGACTTATCTTTTACTTTTTAAAACATACTAAGCACCATTGTTTTCTACTTTGTGTTTCTATTGTCTATTGTTTCTCACTTACCATGACTTGTTATATTTTTTATTGTGGGCTTATTTTTGATTGTGAAGTTGTCATTTATTTCTTGTTCATGGATCTACAGGTCAGCCACAGCAGGCTGCACCGGACATTGATCCAAGCAAATCAGTTGCCCAAAGCTCAAATTAGAAAGACAGAGTTGTTTACCCCCATTCATTTACTGGATGGCATCCCAAAGTTCCATGGCAAAGGGCATGGATTTACAATCCTACTACAGGGAGAAAGTTAATATTTGTGAATAATAATTTAGTCTATCACAATATGACTGCATAATCTAGTCTACCACAATATGCCTGCCTATTTGGGGGTTTCTGGGGTTTGTTTTCTGCTTCTCATGCTCCAAAAGTCATGAAAACTGAAGACCTAGGATCAGCACATATTCTCAGGGCAAAAGCAAGTCCAATGCCCTAGTTACATCTTTAAATTTCTCCTTTTGCTTAGGCTTACTCCTGCCAAATTAGCCACCCCAAAGGAAAAAGTTGTGGTTATTTTTCTTAAAATTTTAGTCAAAGTCCTGAGATTGGCATTGATGAGCCTGAGACAATTCCTATGACCCCCACCCCCCTTTTTTGTTTTCAACACTGTGACCAAGAGTAATATGCTGAAATGCTGGGTCTGAGTGATGGGTTCACTACTGGATTTAGGAGTAGGATCGGTGACATGCAGACAACATAACTAAGAGGAAGAAAGATGTGTTTCCTGTAGAAAAGTCAGAGGGAAATGAATGCTGGGCAGGCAAGAGCAAAATGGATATCTACTATTTGTGCTTATCTCTAAAATCCTGGATTCCAACAGCTGAGGATTATAGCAGAGGACACTCTGGGTGGAGTGAAGACATGAAGCTATGAAAGGGTGGGATTGTTTAGGGGAAATCGTGTCTTTTGATAAGGGTGTAGAATATGTACTGGGCAGTGGAATGGAACAAAGCTGGTGTATTTGGGCCAGTCAATGGCCAAGCGCTTAGCTAAGGCATTGGGACCTTATTTGGCAACATGAAGAGCCTCTAATTCAAATATTTTTTTATAAGTTTCGACTCCTCCAGGATTTTCAGGCAGGAAGGAAAGACAAACGATAAAGATAGGATATGCAAGGGAAGGATCCAAGGCAACAGGCTGATTAATGCGGGTCAGGATAAAAACAACTCAATCAAAGGAGTGGACAGGAAGCAGAAACTGGGGACTGTCAGACAGCGGAGGAGGAGAAGACTCTGGTTCCAGAGGTCACGCCAGAAACAGATGTCCGCTGAATGCTCCTGACTCCCGTGGAAGGACACAGTTGCTGGCAGCCATCAACACAGAAACAGTGACCATCACCCTCAGTGAGTCTGCCATTTTCCCACCCATCCCCCCTTACCTCATTCACTTCTAGACTCATTTTTTTCTCTAGTCCTCCTTGTTTCCCACGCGGTTTTAGACAGAACCATTCATTCGATGGCTTGCATCCTGCTTTTTCCAGCCCAACCACTTCCCTTTCATCTACTCGACAGATTTAGCTCAGCATGTCATTTTTTTTCCTCTTTAGCCCTTGAGTTGTTCATCTATAAAACAGAACTGCCCTCTTGCTACATTCCCTTCCAGTTCTACAGTTCTCTGAATCCTCCAGTGCCCCATCCATCTCTCCCATCCCTTCTGATCTTCTTCCATGACCTAACCAAGTCCCCTTCTGGTCATTTCCTTTTAACTGGTGAAAGCCTACATACTGTTATACATTTAGGTTTCTATGTATATCTGGTATATCCAGCATGCAGCCTCGTACAGTTAAAATATATTGAGATGTTTATCTAACTTGTTTTAACTTTGGACTGTAAGCTCCTCATCAACATGGGCTAAATTATCACAGTGCCATGAAAAGTATGCTTATTGGAATTTTCTATATAGAGAGTGTATTAATTGGGGAGAAGAGAGCCTAGATTAGAAATCAGAGCTCTTGAGTGGGCTATTTACTAGTTAAGTGACTTTTAACCTCTTTAGGCTGGATTAATGTTTGATTTCTCTGCCTCCCCATGATGCAGAGAAGTGAATGTGAAAATAGACCAATCTACCTTTTCATATGAGAAGTCCTGTATCAGTGTGAATCTAATAATCATAATGAGCACCATGTTCAAGTGCCAAGTGGAATCAGGGAGTAAAGTACAGCCAGAGCTCTCAGAGCTGTTCTTTTTTTTTTTTGAGACGGAGTCTCGCTCCATCGCCCAGGCTGGAATGTGGTGGCGTGATCCCGGCTCGCTGCAACTTCTGCCTCCCGGGTTCAAGCGATTCTCCTGCCTCAGCCTCCCGAGTAGTTGGGATTACAGGCATATGCCACCACGCCTGGCGAATTTTTGTATTTTTAGTAGAGACCTGGTTTCACCACGTTGGCCAGGATGGTCTCGATCTCCTGAACGCATGACCTGCCCGCCTCAGCCTCCCAAAGTGCTGGGATTACAGGCATGAGCCACCGCGCCCAGCCGGCATTGCATGTTATATGGGGATTATGTTTGCAAATCAGTCAAAACTGCTCTGGAAGTGACTGTAGATCACACGTGAAGGGCAGGATACCCTATGTAGTGTTACTATGGAACATTAAATGTGTTCCATCCAAAACTAAGATGCTTATATTCGTTCCTCTAAGACATCTTTAGTCAGAGTTTCTCAACAGCCTTTATTTAATTCCATTTCACCTGTAAGGATATCTTTTTAGCTAGTATTACCTATGAGTTCGGCCACATGAAAAACGTCTTTTGGTTCTTTCTCAAAGTTGGAAAACCCTTCAAATATCCCACAAAGTATTCCAACAGGCGGTATCAGCACACACCCATTGTTTTATCATTTTATTATATATTTTGCCAATCCACTATAATTGATTTCTCATAAATTTTATGTGTACACATTAAAGGCATGGATGATATAGCTCCACAGTAACAGAAGTAAAAATGAATTGATAGCATAACTCAACCTTCTCAAGGCCTTACTGACCTGTGGGCAGAAATGCAACATCAATGAAAATCACGCAAATTCCAGCGGCTCTCACAATGCTGAAAATTTCTACAGTGTGCTTCTAAAGTATTTCTGGTGGTCTCTAGGGAGAGGCCTCACAGGTGCCCATGAGCAAGACTGCCCTTGTTGGTGGCTGCCCCCATATACTTCCTCGTGCATGGAAGGGCCTCATCTCTATGCAAATTCTTGCAGGTGCATCATCCCCATCAGTGCTCCTGAACAGGTGTGTGTAGCTGGCATCACTGCTACGGTAGTAAGAACCATTAATGGAATTATGAATCTTGCTTATATATTGTCGCATGCCTTGCCAAACCTCTTCACATTTGATTATGTCAGGAGGTGAATAATTAAGCAGGATAAGGGTTCGGATAAAGGTGAAGGTCATGACGATCTCATTAGACCATCAAAGGGTCCAAATATTAATATGGGAACAGTACAATAAATACAGGACTTTTCATAAAAGTAATAACTATATGGCCGGGCACGGTGGCTCACGCCTGTAATCCTAGCACTTAGGGAGGCTGAGGCGGGTGGATCACGAGGTCAGGAGATCGAGACCATCCTGGCTAACACGGTGAAACCACATCTCTACTAAAAATACCAAAAAATTAGCTGGGCTTGGTGGTGGGCACCTGTAGCCCCTGTTACTCGGGAGGCTGACGCAGGAGAATTGCTTGAACCTTGGAGGCAGAGGTTGCAGTGAGCCAAGATCGTGCAGCTGCACTCCAGCCTGGGTGACACAGCCACACTCTGTCTCAAAAAAAAAAAGTAATAAATATATAATCAAGTATTATTTAAAATGTCAAGTTGATGGGTGCAGCACACCAACATGGCACATGTATGCATATGTAACAAACCTGCACATTGTGAACATGTACCCTAGAACTTAAAGTATAATAAAAAAAATTTAAAAAATAGATAATAAATATACACACGAGTATAATAAAATACAGAACTTTTCCTTCGGTAACACTCAGTAGTGTCTTAACAGATGCCCCTCCTGACTTTAAACATAGAGTTACCTCATTTAGCTAGAAAGATACTTGAAGTTTGAAGAAAAGCGTATTGCACATTTTATTTTAAAAAGTCACTAACATTCTGTTTTAAGTAAGTTTACCTTAGGCGTCCCAGTGTTTGGGGCATGCTTCTGAATGCTCGAATTGGGGGAATATTTTCCTCAAGTGGGTATTTATTTTTACCCTCCTCTGGGCTCATATTTCTTCTTTCAGAGAGCGCACAGGGATGAATTTGTCTGTTTGTTTCTTGTTTTTGGATTGTCCAGTGGAGAGGCAATACAGGTTTGACTCAGGGGACAGGAATGGCCTCACCATTCCTTGGAGGTAAGTGGGTCCCCTGATTGAGGGGAGTTTCTGTCTTGGCCAAGGGGCACCTGGACAAAGTCTTGATTTTCTTCCTGAAGCAACTGGATCTGCTGTCTTTCCCAGCACATCTGCATGTGGAATCCATCCCAGTTCCATATCCCTGCCCTCTCCTCTCAACAACATCTTGAAGGAGTCCTTTCTCTCATAGCTCAGGGGCAGGGGGCATTTTTGCAGACGGAGAGCTAGAGGTAGACAGGCTTGCTGAGGGCTGAATAGGTCTTGCCTTAGGATCCTGAGAGAAAAGGTGTTCCCAGAGCTGCCTCGTTTCCTTGGAAGACCTGTTCTTATGGGTCTTTTCTTTTCATTCTTTAGACTGAAGATTCTTCCTGGGCCCAAGGGAAAGGTAAGTGGAAACATTCTGAACAACACCCATTTTGGCATCCAGGACTCATTCGGCAACAAACAGGTGCTTTTACCCAAAGATATGGATGGGAGGACAAGAGAGGACCTGGGTTCTACCTATCGTCTATCTAACATCTATCTATCTATCTATCTATCTATCTATCTATCATCTATCTATTTATCTATCCATCCACCTATATATCTGTCTATCTGCCTATCCATCCATCCATCCATCCATCCATCCATCCATCCATCCATTAAGGAGTGGGAAAGGATAGAGATGGAAGAATGTTTTGTTTTGTTAACACAAATGCTGTCGAAAATTCTTTAGGGTGAGAGCAACACAATTGCAGAGTTACTGTTAGCATCAAGATGTGAGAATGTATTGTTGGGTTATAAATTTTACATTCTTAAGCATCAGACCAGTTCTAAAGAATCTTTTTATTTCCTCACAAGGTTCTTGCCTTACCTGACATTTTATGACAACAAAACTATGGTGGATGCTTATGTACAAGCTCCACAGTCCTTTGAGTCAGAATTCTGATTCTTAAACACACACACACACACACACACACACACACACACACACACACCTTAATAAAGATAAATGAATTAAAAGAATTAAATATTTGGAGATCATTATAAACAGGAGATGTATGGATGGCAGATAAATAATTCTTAAATCACATGAAACTTGCTTAAGTAACTAATTTACAATGCTGAGAAAGGCTTAGTCATCCACTTTAAAAAATTAAACCTTTCATAAAGAACACCAAATAAAGCAAGGGTTGAATAGCTACTGGACTTCTTAACCAACACCTTCATCCGAGTAGTTTTAGCTGGATGGTCTCTTCTCAGGATGCTCCAAGCCCAGGTCAGTTCTACCCTCTGCATTAGTGTGCTAGGGCTGCCATAGCAAAATGCCACAGACTGGGGTGGCTTAAGCAACAGAAATGAATTTTTCTCACAGTTCTGGAGGCTGGAAGTCCAAGATCAAGGTGTCAGCAGGTTCAGCTTCTCTGGAGGCCTCTCTCCTTGGCTTGCAGATGGCAGCCTTCTTGCTATGTCCTTACGTGGCCTTTCCTCTGTGCACGCTCATCCTTGCTGTTTCCTCCTCTTCTTATAAGGACACCAGTCAGGTTGGATTAGAGCCCACCCTAGTGACTGCATTTTAAATTACTCATCTCTTTAAAGGCCCTATCTCCAAATAGATCACATTCTGAGGAACTAGGGCTTATGCCTTCAACACATAAACATTGTAGGGAAACACCATTTAATCCATAACACCTCGTAAATGCTCTCCTGCAGCTTGTACTCATTTGGACTTGAGGTGCTCTCTGTGCCATTAGTTACCTTTGAACAAAGCTTGGCCTGCCAAGTCCAGGATATGTGCTCACTGATTAACTTAATTAATTTTTTAAGTGGATGACTAAGCCTTTCTCAGCGTTGTAAATTAGTTACTTAAGCAAGTTTCATATGATTTGAGAATTATTTATCTGCCGTCCATACCTCTCCTGTTTATAATGATCTCCAAATATGTGTTTTAAAAACCCCAGCAAAAGTCAAACGCATCATCTCTCGACAACTTTTTCTTTCGCTATTCATGTCCTCATTTCCTGTGAAAATAGGCTCTCATTTGAGACACCCTCTAAACTGGACTAGATCTGTCTGAATGTGGAGAACATAATCATCTTTCAGCCACTTCCTTATTCCCTTTTTTTTTTTTTTTTTTTTTTTTTTGAGAAGGTATCTCACTCTGTTGCCTAGGCTGGAGTGCGGTGGTGCGATCTTGGCTCACTGCAACCTCTGCGTCCCAGGTTAAAGCGATTCTCCTGCCTTAGCCTCCTGAGTAGCTGGGACTACAGGGGCCTGCCACCACACCCAGGGAATTTTTGTATTTTTTTAGTAGAGATGGGGTTTCACCATGTTGGTCAGGCCGGTCTCGAACTCCTGACCTTGTGATCCTCCCGCCTCAGCCTTCCAAAGTGCTGGGATTACAGGCATGAGCCACCGCACCCGGCCACCACTTCCTTATTCTACATGGAACCAAGTACTCTGTTATTTTGATATCTGGTACTCTTTGAAGTGTATTTGCTCATCCTTCACTGCTTCATCCTCTGTGTTTGCCTCCCTAGACCTTGACATAGAGTCAGCAGTGCCCCTGCGTTGGGGGATCCATACTTCCAGTACCGCAATTGTCATATTGGGTGGTTTGAGTTTCCACCTTTGTGCTCTCAGCAGATGCGATCCTCTTCAAACCAAGTGGTAATAATGATGGGCATGGGAGAAGTGAAGGGAGAATAAAAGGGGGCATAGCACTATAACACAGATAGATGGGTAGACTGCGGCCCAGAGCACGGAGTGACTAATGTTCAGGGAGCCTGTCGTGGCATAAAAGGGACTAGGAAATAGGAATTAAATGATCTCCTAGAGTCTCCTCCAGCAATAGCTCGATAGCCCCAGCTTCAGACTTTTGGACATTTATCTAGTTCAGTGGTCTTCTCACAGTGTGTATAAAATTTTTCCAAAATAATGAGGTTCTTTATCAACATAAGAGATGATGAATATTTCATACTGAAATAATCTCTCAATTATATTTGTAATACAAACAAATGATGTGACATACAATTCTAGCCATAGGAAGTTGGCTGGAACTTGGATGAAAAGATCTATGTCAGGGCTGAGCTTGAGTCCCCAACCCCTTATTTTTTTATTTTTTATTTTTTTGACGGAGTGTCTCACTCTGTCACCCAGGCTGGGGTGCAGTGGCGTGATCTCGACTCACTGCAACCTCCACCTTGTAGGTTCAAGCAATTCTCCTGCCTCAGCCTCCCTACTAGCTGGAATTACAGGCACCCACCACGTCCGGCTAATTTTTTTGTATTTTTAGTAGAGATAGAGTTTCGTCATGTTGGCCAGGCAAGTCTCAAACTCCTGACCTCAGGTGATCTGCCCGCCTTGGCCTCCCAAAGTGCTGGAATTACAGGCATGAGCCACTGCGCCCAGCTGAGTCCCCACCTCTATAGGACCATGACCATTTGGGAGACTATGTGGTCTTTGCTTTCTCTGAAGGTGCTCAGAGATAAGGATGCCATGTGGTGTATGTTATTTTCTTTAACTGAGTCATAGCTTTGCATCTTTTCTTGTTCCAGAATCAAAGGGCCGATTATTTATTTTATTTTATTTTGTTTTATTTTTGAGACGGAGTCTCGCACTGTCGCCTGGGCTGGAGTGCAGTGGCGCGATCTCAGCTCACTACAACCTCTGCCTCCGAGGTTCAAGAGATTCTCCTGCCTCAGCCTCCCAGGTAGCCGGGATTACAGGCTAATTTTTTGGTATTTTTAGTAGAGATGGGTTTTCACCATGTTGGTCAGGCTGATCTCAAACTCCTGATCTCGTGATTCGCCCACCTCGGCCTCCCAAAGTGCTGAGATTACAGGCGTAAGCCACCACGGCCCGGTCAAAGGGCTGATTATTAACAGCGCCTCCCATCAGAATCTCATTGGCCAGCTAGCTGCCTCCACTTCTCACTCATCTTTGGAGAGTGCCTGAGGCGTATTGGGGTCTTACTTTTTGTGTTGCCCTACAGAAGGAAGGTAGGAGCTTCAGCAGAGAGAAGGGGTATGTAAAATTTTAGCATCCAGCATATATCATATATACAACATATACCAGAAGAAAGGGCTAATGAAACACTTGCAGTAATTCTTACTGCTTTCGTGATCTGCATTTTTTTTTTTTTTTTGAGATGGAGTCTTGCTCTGTCGCCCAGGCTGGATTGCAGTGGCGCGATCTCAGCTCACTGCAATCTCCGCCTCCTGCTTTCTAGTGATTCTCCTGTTTCAGCCTCCCGAGCAGCTGGGTTGACAGGCGGGTGCCACCACACCCGTCTAACTTGTATTTTTAGTAGAGATGGGGTTTCACCATGTTGGCCAGGCTGGTCTCAAACTCCTGACCTCAGGTCAGGTCTCCCAAAGTGCTGAGGTTACATGCATGAGCCACTGCACCCAGCCATTGTGGTCTGCCTCTTATAATTTCTTTATTTAATCTCTTCTAATCCTCAGTAGCTGCCTTGCTAGCCTACAGCCCGAAATTACAGACATGCTTTTATTTGCACATGAATTGCCCATCAAAGGAGCGCTAATTAGGTGTTAAGAAGACTCTACATGGACAAATAATGTTTTAATGAGATTTTCTCAAATTAATTCATCTTCAAAAACATGCTAAGATAGATTGGAGACCAAATAACTTATGTCAAAATAATTGTTTCTAAAAATTGAATCATAAAAGAACTGGAAAAAATATAGTGACTTAAATAACTGGGGAAGTCTTTTTAACAGAAAAAGCAGCCGGGCGCAGTGGCTCACGCCTGTAATCCCAGCACTTTGGGAGGCCGAGGTGGGCGGATCACGAGGTCAGGAGATGGAGACCATCCTGGCTAACACGGTGAAACCTCGTCTCCACTAAAAATACAAAAAAATTAGCCGGGCGTGGTGGTGGACGCCTGTAGTCCCAGCTACTCGGGAGGCTGAGGCAAGAGAATGGTATGAACCCAGGAGGCAGAGCTTGCAGTGAGCCAAGATCTCGCCACTGCAGTCCAGCCTGGTCGACAAAGCGAGACTCTGTCTCAAAAAAAAAAAAAAAAAAAAAAAGCAAAGGAAGAACTATAATAAGAAGAGCCAAGTTTGGATTGCATACAAATTTTAAATTTTCTCTACATCAGAAGCAAGCTAAGGAAGACATTTATGACATATATAGCTAATAAGCAGTTAACGTATGAACTGTAGTTTACAGATAAAAGGTAAATAGTAAAATAGAAAAGAGCATGAACAGAAAATTCATAGAAGAAACATAAACAGCACGAAACACAAAAAAGTTTTCTTTTTTTTTTAGACAGAGTTTCTCTCCGTTGCCCAGACTGGAGTGCAGTGGTGCGATCTTGGCTCACTGCAACCTCTGCCTCCTGGGTTCAAGCGATTCTCCCACCTCAGCCTCTCAAGTAGCTGGGATTACAAGCATGCGCCACCACGCCCGGCTAATTTTTGTATTTTTAGTGGAGACGGGGTTTCACCATGTTGCCCAGGCTGGTCTCGAACTTCTGATTTCAAGTCATCTGCCCGCCTCAGCCTCCCAAACTGTTGGGATTATAGGCGTGAGCCACCGCGCCTAGCCCACAAAAAAGTTTGGAATGAGTGATAACATTTCAAACTGGCTAAGCTTAAAAGTAATGAAATTATCTAACGCTGGGAAAGTGCAGGGCATGACCAGCGTTTTAATAATTTACTAGTGGGAGTGAAAATAAATGAATTTTGCTATACAATAAATTTGTATTATGTGGCAAAAGGCTTTAATATATTCATGGCCCAGAATTGATACATCTAGGAATTCATCTAGGAGAGTGATGAGCTAATAATTGGAAAAATGTTTATGATATAATTTCAGGTAAACAAAAGCAGGTTACAAAATAGTAGGTAGAATATGATTTCTATTATTATTGAAATATAAATTTTTTGAAAGACCAGATTGGAAGGATTGACTAAAAAATGTTAAGAATGGGTAGGTAGGCTAAGGGAATTTTTTTTCTTCTTTATGCTTTCCCGCTTTTTCATATGATTCTATATTGAGCCACATATTACTTATATAATAAAAAAGTTTGTGTTTTAAAAATAAGTGATTGCTGCATCTATCAAAGGGGCTAACATTTGTCAGATTAAGGTAGCAAACCAACCTAGTCTACCCTTAGGTTGGTGTAACAATGATCATTTTAGTTCTGATTATTTTTCCTTCAGTCTAGACCAGCACTGACTATTAGAAATTTCTATGAAGATGGACCGGGCGCGGTGGCTCACGCCTGTAATCCCAGGACTTTGGGAGGCTGAGGCGGGCAGATCACAAGGTCAGGAGATCGAGACCATCCTGGCTAACACGGTGAAACCCTGTCTCTACTAAAAATACAAACAAATTAGCTGGGTGTGGTGGCTTGAACCCAGGAGGCAGAGGTTGCAGTGAGCCGAGATTGCTCCATTGCACTCCAGCCTGGGCGACAGAGCGAGACCCCATCTCAAAAAAAAAAAAAGCATTAAGGAACTGAGGAGATAGTTTTTAACAGTAGAATGGACACGGCAGAAGACACGACGAATAAATACAACTACAGGTCAATAGAAAATATCCCTAGAAGTAAACAAGTTGTGAAATATTCATACCATGGAACACCTCTCAGAAAAACAAAAAACAAAAAAATACAAACCACTGGTACAACCTGAATGACTCATGTAGAAATTGTGTAAGTGACGAAAGCCAAGCACTAAAAAAGCATGTACTCTATGATTCCACTTACACAAAATCCAAGAACAGCTAAAAATGACCTATGGGTGATTGATGTCAAACTGGTGGTTACTTCTGAGGGTAGAGGTTGACTAGGTATGAGGAAACATTCTGAGGTGACAGAAAGTTCCATCACTTGATCTGCATGGTGGTTACATGGGTGCATACACATGTACAATTCCACTGAGCTCTATATGTACAGTTTGTGTGCTTTACTGTATACAAGAAATAGCTCAATTTAAAAAAATACCAACGATGGCATTTTTCCCCCCGATGTGATGTCTGTTATTTACTCATCCTCCTTTTTCCCGAGCTGGAAGGAAGGCCCCTAAGTGTCCTCAGTTGCCTCTATGGATGCTGGAAAGTTTGTCAACAGGGAAGGAACCTGAATGCTCTCAGGAAGCTGCAGAGTACATACCATGAGTTGCAGAGCTGGACATGAGAGGAGTCAGGTCTCCTTTGGGGAGCACCTACCCTGGGGTCTGGAGGAAGACAGCTGGGACCCTGGCTTTCTGGTGGGTGAGCACACCTCTGCAGAAGCGCTGAGATGTGGAAGCAGAGCCTAGGGACCCTGGAAGACTTTGGCAAGATGTGATCTAAAAGTTCTGAAGTCATCAAATATCTATATCTATATTTATTTATTTATTTATTTATATACACATTTATATATTTAATATTAATTAAATATATTTTACATAAATATATAATATATATCAATATATTTATATATTATACATACATATATATCAATATATTTATATATTATACATACATATATATCAATATATTTGTATATTATACATACATATATATCAATATATTTGTATATTATACATACATATATATCAATATATTTGTATATTATACATACATATATATCAATATATTTGTATATTATACATACATATATATCAATATATTTGTATATTATACATACATATATATCAATATATTTGTATATTATACATACATATATATCAATATATTTGTATATTATACATACATATATATCAATATATTTGTATATTATACATACATATATATCAATATATTTGTATATTATACATACATATATATCAATATATTTGTATATTATACATACATATATATCAATATATTTATATATTATACATACATATATATCAATATATTTATATATTATACATAAATATATCAATATATTTGTATATTATACATAAATATATATCAATATATTTATATATTATACATAAATATATAATATATCAATATATTTGTATATTATATAATAGTATATATTTTAAATAATATGCATTTATTTATATTATATATAACATATATTTTCATATAATATATTTATATTTATTTACTTAATATAAAAATAATATTAATTAAATAATATATAGATATGCTTATATATTATATTTATATATTTTATATATAATATATTCTTTATTAAGTAAGTATATATACACCTACACACACACATATATATATAATGTAGAGAGAGAGAGAGAGAGTGTCCTATTATATACAGCAGAGAAATGGAAAGGCATAATTTTCCTAGGTGGACAGTTTTTATATTTTCATGGAAGGAGTCAAGGAGAGTTGAGCATGTCATTCTGGGGTGTCGCAGAAGCATGGCAGCAGGAGTTCTGACCGAGGAGAGGCCAGTGAGGATGTCGGCACAGACCACCCTGCCCTTCATTTTCCATTTCCTCCAGAAAATGCTGAAAATACAGATCAAGCCCTTAAAACAGTCCGTGTGCACTCAGGATGTGACACGAGTGGCTAGATTTTGCCTTACTGGCCTTCAGTTTAAATTTCCAGGAACGTGTTGAGTCTCTGGGGAGTTCAGAGAAGCAGGAAGGACTTAGTAGACAGAACTGGTGGGTGAAGAGCTGACTCTGAAGGGAGGAAGGGTGAAATTTTGTGGCTGATCTGAAAGAAGGTTCTAGAACCTGTAGGGAGGCATGGCCTTTTAGTTGCTAGAGATTAGTGTAAATTTTTAGCCAAATCAAGTTTTTTAACAGCTTTCTTTCAAAGCATTTGAAACATTCTCAGTGGAGCAAGAACACGTAGTTGGCCTGGCACGACTAAATGGTCTACATTGTAGACAGATCAAAGGTGGAGGATATTTATGCACACCTCAGGTTATTTCGTAGGTAACCCCTTGAAATATATCAATATCTAAAATGAGCATGTCCTTACTGAAGATACATAGGATGAGGCAGACCTGATGGAGCCCCTAGGAAATTATAAATATGTCATAAATATGAAAGTGTACATCATGTGTGCAAATGGCTTAAAGAATAATAAAAGATCACTTGTGAACCCACTACTAAACTTAAGGAATACCAGGTTTTTGTTGTTGTTGCTGTTGTTTTTTGAGACAGAGTCTTGCTCTGTCACCAGGCTGGAGTGCAGTGGCGCGATCTCAGCTCACTGCAACCTCTGCCTCCCGGGTTCAAACAATTCTCCTGCCTCAGCCTCCTGGGAAGCTGGGACTACAGGGGCATGCCACCACACCCAGCTAATTTTTGTATTTTTAATAGAGACGGGGTTTCACCATGTTGGCCAGGGTGGTCTCAATCTCTTGACCTCGTGATCCGCCCCCGTTGGCCTCCCAAAGGCAAACACCAATTTTACCCACTTAACAAGACCCAGAGCCAGTGGCTCTCCTCGGTCACCTCCCCGCTCCCGTCCATCATAGAGGTAACCGTTTTCCCGGTTTCTGTTAATCCCTCCCTTGTTTTTCTTTAGAGTTTCATCGCATATCTGTTTATCCCAAAATAGTATATTGATTAAATGTGCTTATTTTTGAACCTCACATACTTTAAATTTGCTCTGTTCTGTCTGTATCTTTAATTTTGCAAGTTTTAATTTGGGGCCATTTATTTGTGTCCAAGAGTTATTAATCTATCCTCCTTTCCTTTATGAATGGCTACAGCTAAGCTGGAGATAATTTTCTATTTAATTAAATTGTCTTTTGTCATCACTGCAGTCTATTGTTACATTTCACTTCGCTTCTACAAAGCCTTAGATGCCTAGGTAAATTTGGATGTGAAATTCAATTCAATTTGATCCGAATTTAATCCCAGATAAACAACCATACCTCATTATGCAGAACAAAAGAATGACCCAAACATCTTTCACCTAGCGATGCAGATGGATTTGATTCAGGTGAACACAGACTGTTTTGATAGCCTGCCTCAAACTCAGTGTATCACAAACTTCTGCATCTTCTCCTCCATGGCTGACCCTCTCATCTTCCCAGTAAAACCTTCCAGTCATCTCTGACCTTTCTTTCTGACTCCTCACTCCTATCAGTTGCCAAATCTTGTCAGTTACACTCTCCCTGCGTCACTTCCATCTGTCTCTCCCTTTTGCTCCACTTGACGCTCTGTCAGTCGCCTGAATTATTTTGCAACAGCCTCCTGACACCACTCCCAGCTCAGCTCTTGCCCTTCTGATTGCTCTCACACATGTGAGTCTCCGAAGCTTGGCTCTGTCCACTTCCTTGGCTATTCATTGTTTTCTCTCCTTTCAGCCCTTAGGGGTCCAGCCTCACCCACATGACTCAAAAGGGGGCAGCCTGAGAGGTGATTGAACTGGTGGGGGGAGAGAAACTTTAATTCAAATTGGGCCAGTTCCCCCCACCCCGCAGAAATTTGGAATGGGTGGGGATTGAGGAGGGCCATTTGAGAGACTGAGCAAGCTTGCTCTGGGAATCAAGCTCTGAGATTCCATAGACTTAGGGTTAGACTTGACATCTCAGCAAGTCAAGGCCATGTGCAAGCCATAGCTGTTTGGACAGAAACCCTGAGTAAATCAAGAATGACAGCCTGCAAAGGGAAGAGAAAAATGAAGCAGATATGTACAGAATCAGACAACGGACCCTGTAGAAGGTGAGAGAGAAGCGAGGAGGATGGAGAAGTGCTCCCCCAAAATATTCCAATTTCCAGGAACCCCAGTGCTTTATTTTTTGAGATACTTTCCTTCATTCTTTTAACAAACTACCTTTTTACATTAATGAGTTTGAACAAATTTCTGTTTCTTGCAAACTATGGATCCCTAACATGCTGCTCGTCCATCTCAAATGAGGCCACCTCCAAAAAGTCTTCAATCTTAGTTGGGGGTTCCCTGAAAGCAGAACCTGAGACAAGGACTGGGAGGAGGTAGTTATGGGGAAGGTGGCGTCCAGGAAAGAGAAGCAAGGGAGCTGGAAGAATGAGACAGGGAAGGAAAAAAGCCAATCAAGTGTGCTTTAGTGGGCTGGTCACCCAGCTGGGCTCAAAGCTGCTGCAGACCCTTGAGGTGCCATATTGAATGTGCCTCAGACTTGTCCTTTTAAAGGGTGGGAGAGTTGGGCATTGTCTACCAACTTCTGTCCCTTGTTGGTTGAAGGTAGTCCCTGGGGATGTGAACTCTTCTGCAACGTTGGACGGTACCTGTAAGGACTGCAGGCATTCTCCTGCTTTAGAGAAAGCCCCAAGACAGAAAAGTGGAGAGATGAGGTAGAATGCTGTCAGCATGCATGGGAGCCTTCCTTCCACCATCACTGCAGCTGAAATTGTGGATGGAGAGGGGATTGTATCACCAGGCACCAAAAGCATCTGCAAAGTCTTACAGACTCCTCTATTGTTTATATACCTAGGCATTCCCCTTGATGCCAACAGAACACTCTCTAGTCCAGACCAAACTCGCCTGCCCCAGCTCAGCCTTCCTGATGGAAGCTCCTTGACTTATTTTTGCAACTAATGTTAACTTTAAGCAACCTAAGGCTTCCCCAGTTACCACTGTCAACCAGGGCACACCAGGAAGGGGATGCCTGATCTGACCCTACCCTTGGAAACCCCACCCAGTTCTAACATGGAAAACACTGGCAGGTTATTGATCTTCTCTGTCTGCAAGTGGTCCAGCCATTACCACCCACAAGTCTCAGCTCTGCGCTTGACCAGCTATGCAGTTTGACTGAATGACCTACTCAGCTTTCTTAGCCTCTGTTTTCCTGATAGGTAGAAATGGAGCTCATATTTATCTTGGAGGCTTGCTGGGAGCATTGCATAAGGCAATGAGTGAGAGACTCTAGTAAGGGAGCAGATGGGTTGTATCAGTGTGTGTTAGCTCTTCCCTTCTCCAGGGATATGCATTTTGGAAGAAAGATTGCTTTGCCTGCAAAATATATGCTCTCCTTTTCTTCTTGGAAGAGCATCTTCATTTTCTCTTGGGAAACCACCACTTCTCCACTCTGTTCTTGTTCAGACATGGCTGCCCCACCCCTCCTTCCCTAGGAGTGGAGCACCTGGGCAATCAGACACGTGGTGGTTGTTTCAAAAGGGCCACATACCCAAAGGTGTCAGGACTTTAGTATAAACTATTGGGAAAGAGAAATCTCTTTCTACGTAGCTTCTAAGTAGCTGGAACATGCACCTGGAGCTGTGCAGTCCATCTCATCATGATGATGGAAATATCTGCTGAGCGTGAAGCCCACGTGGTGGAATATATTGCTGAAAGATGGTAAAAAATGACCGAATCCTCGTGGCACCTCTTGGAGGCCTGACTCTGACCAAAATAAGAATTTCTGGTTACTTGGGTGAATAAATGCTTGAGTTGGGTTCCTGTTGCCTATAACCTCCAAAGTCATAGCTGATATAGCATTTGACTTCCTGAGGACTATATGCTCAGCTGCAGGAGCTGGGGAGGTAGCAAGTGTGAGGCCAGGGACAAGCAGGTGGCCCACAGTCCACTTCTATTGGGTCTTGGTGTGTTTCCACCAACCTATTGATTCCCTCTTGGAAGGGATCCCAAGTCAGGGAAGACCAGCCACTTCCAGGAAGGGGTGGGGAGGTAGGGCTGACAGTTGATGGGGCCTGCCTTCCTTCCTTCTTTCCTTCCTTTCTTCTTTCCTTCCTTCCTTCCTCCCTTCCTTCCTTCCTCTCTCTCTCTCTCTCTCTCTTTCTTTCTTTCTTTCTTTTGACAGAGTCTCACTCTGTCATCCAGGCTGGAGTGCAGTGGGACAATCTCAGCTCACTGCAAACTCTGCCTCCTGGGTTCAAGTGATTCTCCTGCCTCAGCCTCCCTAGTAGCTGGGATTACAGGCATGCGTTGGTGGGATCTTTCTTAGCTGGGCAGTTGGTGCTGGGCCCCAGGGTTCAGGGTCCATCTTCCTGCACGGGTTTGGTCCACCACACTGATTAGACTATTCTCCCTCAGTATACCAGGCTCTTGGAGTGTCTGACCCTTTTACTGCAGAAAACGTTTCTGTCCCGTGAGCCCTGCCCTGAGAGCCAAATCTTCTGCTCATGTGTTGTCAGACACACGTCCCTGCACAGAGGTGCTTGGAATATTCTGGAGATAATAGTTTAACCCTGGTGGGGGGGTTCCATTTGGGTGCCTGAAATTCCTACTAGCAATTTGAGAACAGTAAGGTCCTTCGATTAGAGCTGCTCAGTTCCCTGATAACTTACAGAGCCAGTCATTTCTCTGGGCTAAGAGCACGCTGAATGATGCTTATGTCTCCTTGAAGGAATGGGTCATTTCCCGTGGTTCCTGAATTTCCCCAAGGGAGTCTCGCAAATTTCTTCTGGGGATTAGCTGCGTCGGTCAAGGCCCAGGCTAGAATTTGATGGCGTCTATTAGTGTTCTAGGGCTACTGTAACAAATTGCCACAAATTGGGTTGCTTGAAATAACAGAAACCTATTGCCTCACAGCCCTGGAGGCTGGAAGTCTGAAATCCAGATGTCAGCAGGGCCCTGCTCCCTCTGGAACCTGTAGGAAGATCACTTCCTGACCCCTTCCTTCCCAGTGCCTGGTGTTTTCCCGGCAGGCTTTGGTGTTCCTGAGCTCACAGCTGCATCACTCCTATCTCTGCCTCCATCATCACAGGACACATTCCCTGGGTGACTCTGTCTCCACACAGCCACCTTCTTATAGGGATGCACCTTACTCCAGTATCGCCCCATGTTAACTAGTTACGTCTGCAAAGCCCCTATTTCCAGATAAGGTCACGTTCTAAGGTACTGGGGGTTAGAAAATCATACTTTTTATAGGAGAGACAGAATTCAACCTATAACACCGGGTGATTAGGGATCATTTAATGAAGGGGCATCACAGAGGTGTGGTCAGGATTAAAGAATTCCAACAAAGGACGAAGAAGCTCCCAGGGCCAGCAGCAGCCAGGAGCCATGAATGCACCTAGGCTCCAAGGGGCAAAGGGCAGGATTGGCTCCCGAGGGTAACCAGTGGTTCAGTGGCAGGTTGCAATCAAGACACTGCAGCCCGGCAGGAGACAGCTGGGGTGCTAAACACTGTAACTTCAGTCTCTCCCTGCCAGCCAGTCCCCAGTGGCTGAGCCCAGTCAGCAGCCAACAGACAAGGGCACCTGTTGCAGCAGCCACAAGTGCCAGCACTGAGATGGAGCGCTCACAGCATCTGGAGGGGCAGAGACTGTCCCAGGCGCTGGCTGTGGCTATGCCCAGCTGTGTGTCTTTATCTGTGTGGTCTTCTTGCAACCACACCTAGGATGGCCCCTGAGGCTCCAAGAAGTGTTCTCTCTGTAAAGATTCTGGTATCCGGCCGGGGGCAGTGGCTCATGCCTGTAATCCCAGCACTTTGGGAGGCCGAGGCGGGTGGATCACCTGAGGCCAGGAGATTGAGACCAGCCTGGCCAACATGGAGAAACCCCGACTCAACTAAATAAAAAAAATTAGCTGGGTGTGGTGGTGGGCACCTGTAGTCCCAGCTACTTGGGAGGCTGAGGCAGGACAATCACTAGCACCCAGGAGGCAGAGGTTGCAGTGAGCCGAGATCGTGCCACTGCACTCCAGCCTGGGCAACAAGAGTGAAACTGTCTCAAAAAAAAAAAAATAAATAAAAGTTGTGGTCTCCTCAGAGAAGAGCCCAGATGTTAACAGTGGTTGTCAGGGCATCTGATTGCTTTGTCTCTCTGCTTCTTTAGGTTACCCACATTTTTTCATTTTAAACATTTTGTAGATATGTGTGGTTGGGGGTGGGAGGAGAAAACCACCTGTATTTCTCTCTATGTGGAGTGTGAGGACTGCTTCACGCCTTGCAGTGTCTTGGGGCAGTCCCTTTAAGGTCTGGGGCAGTTACTGGGGCCTAGATGCCACTCCTCCTGGGTCCCAGGAGCTAACTGCCTTTGTTCTGCCCAGAGCAGCTGTGGCTCATAGAACATAATCACCTTCAGTTTTCTCATCTGTGAAATGGGTCTGTCAGCCCTTCCAATGAATTAAGGCTGATGCGAAGATCTAATGGAATCTCGCAACGGGAGGCCCATTGGAAATTGTGAATATAATTAGGTGAGTTACTACTGCTGTGCCGAAGGGTTTCCTGGAGAGATGAGCTATAAAATTGGTTTGGAGATACAGTGCTCCCTTGTGGCTATTTTTTATATTGCATGACACTTATTTATTTATTTATTTATTTATTTATTTTTACCCCCACTATGTTTCAAGATAAAGATTGTGGTTTTTCATTCATAGGCCAATGAGACACCCCATCCTGAGAGCACGTCAGGGCCTGAGTGGGCACAGGGACATCTGAAATCACTAGGGAGCATTTAGTCAGAGGGAGGCCAAGGCCCATAGACAGGAAATTTCACTGCAGGGCGCTTAGGCTGCCCACCAGGTAGACTGGCCAGGTCCACCCGCAAGTCTCTGACCTCCCTCTGCTCTGGGGTATGCTCCGCCAGTTGGCAGGGGAACAGTGGAGCAGAGCCACTTAAACCGGAGAGTCCTTCGTGGGCCGTTGCTCCACGTGGCTTCTTTTGGGGAATCTCAGGTGTCTGCTGTCACCCTGCCTCAGAGTCCTCACTCTCCCAGAATGTGGCTTTCAGCGCCAGTGTGGACGATTCCAGACACAATCCCTTCCTGCCCCCCATCCCCTTGGGGGGTTCTTGGCCTGGAACTCACCTGTGACCAGGCAGAGCCCTAAAGGGAACAGGTAAGGACCCTACAGCGTGGATCTGGGTCGTGGCCACATTCTGCTGGCAGCCCACCCTTGGTGGGTCCCAGGATTGGCTGCTGTGACCCTGGCTCCAGCTGCTTCTGTCCCAAAGCTGCCATCCCTACTCTCTGGTCACCAATCAAGTTTCAGCCCTCTCCCTTCGCAATTGCGGCTCCTACCCACCCTCTGTTGGCTTCGGCCTGAGCACCCCAGTATGCCCTCCCCCCACTAACAACAACCTCTCACAAGACAGTTCCCTTGCAGGCTCCAGGCCTGCCTTGCCTGCTGCTTCGGTGAGCCCCTGAGTTCTGACCCGACATCCTGCCTCCACGGTAGCAGGACGGGACCACCAGCCTTGTCCTGGAGTAGGCTGAGCTCCAGGTGATCAGTGACCCTGGACATTTTTCTTTTTAAATTAAGATTTATAGATGTGCAGGCCAGGCGCGGTGGATCATGCCTGTAATCCCAGCAGTTTGGGAGGCTGAGGCGGGCGGATCGTGAGGTCAAGAGATCGAGATCATCCTGGCCAACATGGTGAAACCCTGTCTCTACTAAAAATACAAAAATTAGCCAGGCGTGGTGGCGGGCACCTGTAGTCCTAGCTACTTGGGAGTCTGAGGCAGAAGAATGGCGTGAACCCAGGAGGCGGAGGTTGCAGTGAGCCGAGACCGCGCCACTGCACTCCAGCCTGGGGGACAGAGGGAGACTCCGTCTAAAAAAAAAAGATTTATAGATGTGCATATGTGTACCCTATATATGTCATTTTGTAAATGATTTAGATTCAGGGAAGAAATTTTTGCCCTCTTTCATCTATAAATATTAGACAAGCTTGAGTTGTTACAATATTAGTGCAAAAAGGTACCCTATGCTTTCTGAGTGCCCAAGATTCATTTACTGTTTTTTGTTTGTTGTTTGTTTTTTCTTTTTTTGAGACAGAGTCTCGCTCCGTCGCCCAGGCTGCAGTGCAGTGGCAGTGGTGTGATCCTGGCTCACTGCAACCTCCACCTTCTGGGTTCAAGAGATTCTCCTGCCTCAGCCTCCCGAGTAACTGGGATTATAGGTGCACGCCACCACACTCAGTGAATTTTTGTATTTTTAGTAGAGACGGGGTTTCCCTATGTTGGCCAGGCTGGTCTCGAACCCCTGACCTCAGGTGATCTGCTAGTCTTGGCCTCCCAAAGCGCTGGGATTACAGGCGTGAGCCACCGCACCCGGCCTCATTTACTGTTTTGTATAAGAAAAAGGAGACTACACGAAGTGCCCACCTCCAAGGAGAGGATGGCGTTTTAAATGCTTTTTGCTTTGAGAATTGAAGGAAAGGCTGAAATGAGGTGGATACTTGGGCAGAGGTTCTCAGCATTTGTTAGAAGCAACGTGGAAGCTAAAATTCCAGCTTGGCTGTGTGGGTGGGGATGGTGGGGGTGGAGGTGCAGGGGAGAGCTGGGGGTGGGGTTGGGAGGGGACTGAGGCCAATGAAATCAGTCTGGAAGATGGGCTGATTCTCATACACCCCCAACTCTAGAGCTGCTAGCCACACATGGCTGTTTAAGTTTAAATTAATTATAAATAAATAGCATTAAAAATTCAGTGTCTCAGACACAGGGCTCCGTGTTTCAAGTGCCCGGCAGCCACATGTGGCCAGTGCTGCCATGTTGGACAATGCATATTATAGAATATTTCCATCCTTGCAGCACTGCTCTAAAGGGTCGTCAAGTCCTGCTCTCGTGGGTGGAGGTGACGTGGCCAGGTCACCCTTGTATACAGTGGAGGTGGTTTTCAGACTGAGTGCCTGAGCACATACGCATACAGTGTGAGTGTGTGTATGTGGGGGTTACAGGCATTGCAGCTCCTGTTTCCTGCTGAGTAGTCACCCTACAGAGCAGGGAAGCTTCTGGAAGTGTGTCCTGGGAATGTGGAGAACCCCAGGCTCCGTAGCTTCTGGGCTGGCTCCAGGCTATCCTCACTGTCACGGGAAGACCTCAGACAGGTGAGGGGTGTGGCTGCAGGGCGCCCCAGTGTGGAGCATAGGACAGAAGCGCCAGCACCTGCCAGAAAAACCTTTATTTCCAAGGGGTGGCCCATTTGGCCTCCTGCAGTTACCCCTCCTCCGGGACATTGAGCTTCTCCTTCACCCCACAGGCCACCACGGCGAAAAAGAACTCCGGGAAGAAGGTGCGGACGTACACGGCGGCCTTGGGGATGGGGTTGGCCATAAACACCTCTTGCTTCTTCCTCCGCACGGTGCGCATCACCTCCTCCGCCACCTCTACTGGGTGCACGCCGTAGGTCAGCTTCCTGAAAAAGACTGAAAGGCCCCAGTTGGGGGCGGGGGTTATGACCTCCGTGGGGACCCGGCTGGTCAGAGCCCTGCACATGCACAAAGGCTGAGGGGCGGGAAGCGTGGGCTGTCCCCGGAGTCACAGGTTCCAGGCCCCCTCCGCCACCCGCGGACCGCGGCGACCAGCGGGAGACACTCCACTCTCTGCGCTTCCTTCTGCGTCTTCGTCTATAGGATGGACCTGGTTTCCTGCCCTGATAATTTCGGAGGGCGGTTACGTGTGGGGGAAGGGATGCAAAAGAGGTTAGGATCTAAGAAGGTGCCAGGTGGATTAAGGGACTGTTGTTTGTAACTGTCGTGAAGCTGTGCTTGTCAGGAGCATCCTGGAACCCCTGGTCTGCCCCCCATCTTGGATCATCTCGGTTCCTCAAGGTGGGCCTAGAGCCTTGGGCAAGGTGTAGCGCCTCTACGCTTAGAGCATCCTAGAGCAGTGGCCATAATAAGGTGCACTGATTGATAGAGGGGCTGGTTGCTATTCCAGAACCTTCAGTCCTTCCAACAACCCTAAGAGATAGGTATTGCTATTATCCCTCGTTTTCTAAAATGAAAATAATAATAATAGCAATACCTATCTCTTAGGGAGGCACGAAATGATTAAGGGATTTGCTCATATCCAACCCTCTAATACATGGCAGAGGCCGGCTTCCAGTGCAGGTGGCCTGGCTTTAGACTCTCGGCCTCCACTCTGTGCAAGGGAAAGGGGGAGCGGGAAAGTTCTTTAACCCCGAATCCAGGCCATGACATCTGGGAAAAAGGCCCAGAGATAGGCAGTTGCTTGCCGAGGTGGCAGAGGAAGCTGAGTGGCTGAGCTTAGCGGGCGCATGGGCTGTAGGCTGCAGTGAGGATTCTGTCTACCGGGTGCCTCAGGCCTAAAGGTTTGGGGGCCCCGCCCTGCTGTTGGGGGTTGCTGAGCCTCCTCCACCCCCATCCCCAGACTCATGTTTCAGGAGTACCCATCTGAAGGTCATTCATCCCCCCAGTGACACCGGACTGTTCCCGAGGCCCCCAGGGGCCCCAGCTTCCCTCTGAAGTCTCACATTTCCAAATGGAAGCTTCCCAGTTTCCTTGCTCTGGATACACGTGGTACGACCGGATGAAAGTCGGGCTCACGGTGCTGATGACAACATCGTATTCCTCCACTTCGGCTCGGAGGCAGTCAAAGAAGCCCAGGGCTGCGTGCTTGGAGGCAGCGTCTGCGAGACAAACCATCCGGAGGTGGGCGCAGGACACTCCCGGCCCTGCTTCCTGGTGGGCGCATTGGAGGCAGGAGGGCCGACAGACACATTTCCTACAGGCGCAGAGCTGGGAAGATCCTCAAGAATCTGCCCCTCACTTTACAAATGAGGACAGAGAGCCCTCGGGAGTGGTGGACATAGAGCTGGAACTGAATGCAGCTTAGCCACTTGCTGGTGGTGTGATGTGATTGTGGGCAAATCACTTTGCCTCTCTGAGGCTCAGTTTTCTTATCTTTAAAATGGGGGCGCTATTTCCCTTGGCAAATTACTGTGAAGATCAAATGAGAAAACATACAGAATGCCGGCACAAACATGAATTCCCCTTCCTTCCTGGGAAGGCTGATGCCTAAGAAACTTGTCCAAGGTCCGGGGCCAGCTGGTGGCTGCAGTGAGCCTGAATCACAGATATCCCCTCTCCCTTCCTGTTTCCCTTTTCCTCGGAGAGCCCGTCCAGGTAATCCACTCACCAAATCCAGTTCAAATCGTAGAAGCCATGGGTTGGGGAAAAAAGGATCATTCCAGGAGTTCCAAAAAGAATAGAGTGGACATTGCTTAGAGCTTTGGGAAGTTAGAGCCACATCTGGGGTGTGATGCACCCCAACTTCACATTTTAGGGGTGTCAGTCAGAGGCAGAAGGGGCAGAAGGTGGATGTACTGTGGTTCCTGCCACTGTGCCCAGATGCCTTCAACCAGAACCCTTTCCTGGTTCCCCTGACATCATGACTAGCAAGCTTCTAGTTCTCTGCAATGAGGCCTTTTTTTTTTTTTTTTTTTTTTTGAGACGGCGTCTCACTCTGTTGCCCAGGCTGGAGTGCAGTGGTGCGATCTCGGCTCACTGCAAGCTCCACCTCCCAGTTTCAAGCAGTTCTCCTGCCTCAGCCTCCTGAGTAGCTGGGTTTACAGGCACGCCACCATGCCCAGCCAGTTTTTGTATTTTTAGTAGAAATGGGGCTTCGCCATGTTGGCCAGGCTGGTCTTGAACTCCTGACCTCAGGTGATCTGCCTGTCTTGGCCTCCCAAAGTGCTGGGATTACAGGCGTGAGCCACCACGCCCAGCAAAACCATGCACTTTAAACGGATACATTGTGCGGTATGTGAATTACACAGCCAATACAAGTGTTACCAAAAAAAGGTCTACCAGCTTGTTTTTCATTCATCCACCATCTCCTTGATTCCTTCAGTCATTCAACAGTGAAGTCCCTGCTCTGGTGGGTGAGAAGCTGGGGACCCAGAGGTGAATAGAAGTAGCTCTGGCCTCATGGAGTCCTCATTTCATCAGTGGGGCAGACACGTGGACAGGTAACTTTCCATGTGGTGTTTTTTGTTTTGTTTTGTTTTGAGAGGGAGTCTTGCTCTGTTGTCCGGGCTGGAGTACAGTGGCTCAATCTCAGCTCACTGCAATCTCTGCCTCCCGGGCTCAAGCAATTCTCCAGCCTTAGCCTCCCGAGTAACTGAGATTATGGGTACACACCATCATGCCTGGCTAATTTTTGTATTTTTAGTAGAGATGGGTTTCACCATGTTGGCCAGGCTGGTCTCAAACTCCTGACCTCAAGTGATCTACCCGCCTTGGCCTTCCAAAGTGCTGGGATTGCAGGTATGAGCCACTGTGCCCGGCCCCATGTGGCATGGTTAATGCAGGAAAGAGATGTGTGCCTGCAGCAGGAGGGACACATGGCAGGCTGCCTTCCCTTTCAAGTCTGTGTGCCAGGTTCTGAGCCTCAGAGCCCCCATCTCCTTGCCTGGGTGGATGGTAAGGGAACTGTGCTGGGGTGCTCAGGGACACTGAATTCCTTTTGGGTGGTCAAAAGAAACCTCTGAGTCGGCAGACCCCAGGTCACTCCCACGCCAGCTCCTTGTGTCTTTCCAAAGCCGGATTCAGAGGAAGAAGAGAATTTGGGGCCAGTCCAGGGTGGCATGGCTTCAGTTCTGACATTTACATGGGAAACTCTGTGCCCCTCAATTCCTCAGCTTCAGAGAAGCCAGACCATGACTGATGGGGGTGGAGACAGCCTTGAGAGAATTCTGAGTCCCCAATACTGTGTTTTGCAAATGTTCCCAGGAAACTCGTGCATTTGTCCTATACGGGTCAGTGGCCAAAGCGCCCATTGTCATGCCCATGTCTCATTATATTATGTCACCTCTGTGTTCCCATCACTTGGCTTTAGGCATTCAAACACTTTGTTGAATGAATGAAGGCATGAAGCAAGGAAGATGAAAAGTCACCCAGCTGCTGAAAATAACAGACAGAAAGTTTAAAAATACAAGGAGCAGTGGGGAGATTCCTAAGTGGACTGGGGAAGAGAGGAAAAGGCAGGATGTGGCAAAGACTGCTGTATGTGGCCCATTCACTCTGCCCTTCTTCCTGGGCCCCCAGGTGGACTGCACTTCCCAGCGTCCCTTGCACTTAGGTGCGACTGAGTTCTCCCAATAGGATGTGAGCAGCGGTGATGCCAGCCTGGGGACAATGGGATGTCCAATGCCAGCCTGGGGCTTTGGACATTGAGCACGGCTCCTCCACAGTCTCTTTCCTCTTCTTGCCAGCAGGGACCCAGTGGTGACCACACGGAAGATGTTGTTGATGGAATGACTTAGCATGACCCTGGGCCCCTCAGTGACCCTGTGGCATGGTGGCATCTGCTTGCCTGAGCCATTCCCATTGAGGTTACTACATGGAGGAGTAATCAAGTTTTCCCACATCACAGGCTCACAGCACCACAGGCCTAAACTAACTAAGGCATATGGAAAAAGGAAGGTAAAACACTACTAGAGCGGGTGTTATGGGTTGAATTCTGTTATCAGCCTCCGAAAATTTATATGCTGAAACCCAATACCCAGTACTCAGAATGTGACGGTATTTAGAGATATTTAAAGAGGTGATTAATATAAAATGAGGGCATTAGGCTGCGTCCTACTCTAATCTGACTGGTGCTATTGTAAGAAGAGGAAATTTGGGGCCGGGCATGGTGGCTCACGCCTGTAATCCCAGCACTTTGGGAGGTCAAGGCGGGTGAATCACCAGAGGTCAGGAGTTCGAGATCAGCCTGGCCAATATGGGGAAACCCCGTCCCTACTAAAAAATACAAAAATTAGCTGGGTGTGGTGGCGTGTGCCTGTAGTCCCAGCTACTCAGGAGGCTGAGGCAGAAGAATCTCTTGATCCTGGGAGGTGGAGGTTGCAGTGAGCCAAGACCTTGCCATTGCACTCCAGCCTGGGCAACAGAGTGAGATTCTGTCTCAAAAAAAGAAAAAGAAAAGAAGAGGAAATTTGGACACATAGGGAGGCAACAGACATGCACGTGCACAGAGGAAAGACTGTGTGGGGACACAGCAAGAAGGCAGCTGTCTGCAAGCCAGGGAGAAGGGTCCCAGAGGAAACCAGCCCTGCCGACACTTTGATCATGGACTTCCAGCCTCCAGAATAAAAAAACAAATTTCTGTTGTGTAAGCCCCAGACTTGGTATTTTGTTACGGCAGCCTGAGCAAATTCATATAGGAACCTACTATTTTTTTCCCTCCCTTCTTCCCTTCCACCCTTGTACCCATCAAACATTTACTGAGCCCCTAATTTGCACATGGTAGTGTGGGCCACGAATAAATGTATATGGCACGTTCCCCACCTCTTAGAACTAGCTCATCAGATGTGGAAATGGCTCCAGAATTTTTCCAGCTAGATCCCAGGAACATACACCTAGGAGTCCTTCTCCCCCTTGAACTTTTGAAAGGACGCTCATATTTGGAGCTGCCCCCACCCTGAATTCTGCCCCTTTCTGTTTTTCCTGGTTTCTTCCTCAGAAGGTCTCCACTGCCCTCCCATTTTGTGATGTGCACCCACCCTTCTCTTTCCCAATGGTAATCTTCCTTGACTTTCAAGGGCATCTTTGTGGAGGAAGGGGCATTGGAGCTACGACTGTGCATCTTTCTCAGGAGCGTGACCTTCACCTGGCATTGTCAGGTTCACCTAGTGCATGTCCTGCCCCCATGGGAGACTGTGAGCTTCGCGGACAGAAGGAGCGTATCTTTAATATCTCAGCATCTCCCATAGCCACTTGCATGCTGTAGGTGCTCAAAAAAATAGGAACCATAGGGATGAAAGAAAATCCAGCAGATGGTGTCATCCTTGGACCCTTTCCCCTGTGACCATCTGCCTAGTCTTAGACATAACAGCTCTTGCCTTATACCATAAGACATACAACAGAAGATATCATATTTTTATCTTAGCAACTTACAAGTCGTACGGAACGGGATTCCAAACTTCCCTTGGATATTATTCACTAACACGATTTGGCCTGTTCTCCGGGAGATCATGTTGGGAAGCAGGGCTGGAAAACACAGGACGATGCATCATGGTTAAAACTTTGAGACTGAGTTAGGCAGCAGCAGGCAGACCCCTGCCCCCGGTACCCTCATCACAGGGCTCCGCTACCTCCGCGGTAACTAGATTGCAGCAGGGCAGAGGTGGAATGAGTCCTGCAATCATTTATCCAGTGTTTCCAAAGCGTGGGCTGGCGAGTTGCTGGGTGATTTTAAATTGGTGCTTTCCCACCAATGTGCATTTAGTGACACTGATTTCTTTTTTTTTTTTTAAATGCATATTTATATTTATTTTATTTTCCTCTCAAATTTTGTTTAGATGCAGGGGGAACACGTGCAGATTTGTCACATGGGCATATTGCACTCAAGTAGTGAGTACGGTACCCAGTAGAACAGAACAGACGCTCATCTCGGTAGTAAGAACATCATTCCCGTTTCAATTCTCCTAGTATGGAAGGAAGAAGGAAGAAGGAGGTCTCACAGTGGTTCTAGTGTGTCTTTAACGCCTCTCTTGCACATGCTAATCTTTTAACAAAGAGAGGGAAGATTGTGGCGTTCTCAGGCTACCTTGGGAGAACTTAATTTGTTTAATTTTCAGGTTGTCCTTTATTTACTGAGAATGAAAGAGTTTTTAAATTCATGTTGGTTTTATACAGATTTCCTCCTAAAGTGAATTTAATTTAAAAATGAGAAAATTCAGAGAAAGGTATTAAATTAATAATAGTATAGGCGGAATGGGGATATGGCAAAAAATGAAAAGACAATACTCAAAGGGTCAACTTTCAGAATGATCTGGGAAACCCAGCACCTCCATGTTAAAATGGACAAACTGAGCCGGGTGCAGTGGCTCACGCCTGTAATCCCAGCACTTTGGGAGGCCGAGGCGGGTGGATAACGAGGTCAGGAGATCGAGACCATCCTGGCTAACACGGTGAAACCCTGTCTCTACTAAAAAAAATACAAAAAATTACCCAGGCGTGGTGGCGGGCGCCTGTAGTCCCAGCTACTCAGGAGGCTGAGGCAGGAGAATTGCTTGAACCTGGGAGGTGGAGGTTGCAGTGAGCTGAGATAGCGCCACTGCATTCCAACCTGGGCAATAGAGGCGAGACTCCGTCTCAAAAAAAAAAAAAAAAAAGAAAGAAAGGAAAAAAACCAAGATGGACAAACGGAAGTCCGGCGCTAGGGACTAGACCCAGGGTCCTTAGTGAGTTAGAGGGCTAACCAGGAGGAGAAACCAGTTCTGGCCCTTTTCCACTCCACTTTCTTGGTTCGTTGCTTTGATGCCAGTGAAGTCTCCGTTAAAGGTTGGTAGCTGACACACCGGTGCTGGCCTGTTTGCTGTGTCCACAGGGACTGGACTGGAGGAAGCTGTTATCTCTGGGACACCATTCTAGAAGCTCTGGAAAGTCATCTTTCTGCCCCAAATGCGTCTTTCTCTTCATCTGTCTTAGTACTCAGAATCCTATTGTTAGAGGTACCCAGCATGGGAGCTGGTTGTAGAGAAGGTATTTGCAAGATCAGGCTAGATCTCAGACCTTGCCAGGACACCCCACTCCCTAAATGGAGGCGTTCTCCACATTACATTCCCCCTGAGCTTCTGCTTTGATAAACTTTTATTTTTTTGGAGAGCAGGGGCTTTAACTTTTCTTTTTTTTAGACAGTCTCACCCTGTCTAAAGATGGAGTGCAATGGTGTGATCTTGGCTCACTGCAACATCAGCCTCCCAGGTTCAGAAGATCCTCCTGCCTCAGCCTCCTGAGTAGCTGGGATTACAGGCACCCACCACTATGCCTGGCTAAGTTTCGTATTTTTAGTAGAGACGGGGTTTCACCATGTTGGCCAGGCTGGTCTCGAATTCCTGACTTCATGATCTGTCAACTTTCTATTCTACTCTATGGTCATTTCCAGCCCCACTTCCCAGGCTTCAGACCTGCGTTTGAACTTGATGGTGAGAAATCTGCACCTGGGTATCTCCTAGGCCCCTCAGACAGGTTCACGTAGGAATCACCATCTTACTCATTAAAGGGAGACAGCCTCCTGCCTTTCCCTGTTTCTGTGAAGGGGTTGACAGAATACTGGGTCTCTTGTAGTCTGGTGATAAGCCCTTTTTCTTCTTCATTTCTGAGGACAGAATCTTTACCTTTGACCAACTGTAATGGTTAGAAGCAGGTCAACCACAAGGTTGATATAGCAGAATGTACATGATTGTTGAGACAATTGTTGGAGGATGAGACAATTTTTCAGAGACGTCGAATTGGAGGGAAGCCATGGATGTAAGGAGAGAGAAGTAAAAGGGCAAAGCTTGGGTGGGGAGAGGGGTTTCACAGAGATGGTGGTTGAAATATACCAATCAGATACTTCCTGAGTTCCTTTTCCTTCATAAACACTTACAATGGGAATGGTGAAAGCTTTCACCCAATAGGTAGGGAATTTTCTGAGGGGACTGGGGAATTCCATATAGAATAGGATGACTGTCTGGCTAATTAACAGAGGCCTCTGTAGAATCTGGTGGCCCAGATACCCATGGGAAAGTCAAACTCACGAGACCTTTCGTCAATGTGATGGGGCCAAAGTAATTGGCATCCATGATCTTTTTGTCGAGCTCCAGAGAAATCTTATGGGCAGGCCCCTTCACCTTCACACTGGCATTGTTGATGAGGATGTCCACACAGCCATAGCAATCCAGGACTTCTTTTGCCACATCTGGGACACAGCTGATGTCTGAGAGGTCCAACAGGACCAGCTTTGGGGTGAATGTCTGCTGAACCAATGAGAGAGTCAGGGTATGTGTGAGATCTCCTCCCTCTTGCAGACCTTGGGAGCCCTCGATCTAAAAGCCACCCATTTTGAAATTCAAAGATAATGAAATGACTGAAAAAAAAAAAAAGACGAAGAAGCAGAGATGATTCTGGGATGGAGGATATTGCCAGATAATTCATACTTGGGGACCAGGGCAAAAACAACAACAAATCTTGACACGAATATGCAGCGATAAATCTAAACTCTTGGCCAGGGTTCCAGAACTGATAAATGAATATTGCCCTTCACGGCAGTCCCTTTGCAGGGTTGCACTGACTCCAGTGGTGACATCATTACTTTTAACATTTCTGAGCCCCTTTGTGGAAATTGCTTTTCAACCTGGCTTGCAAGTTGAAAAAAAAAAATCTATCACAGTACTTAATAGCCATATTTTAAAAAACTAAAATCATACACTCAACACAATATTTTTGAAGCACCTACTATGTGCCAGGCACTGTGTTTAGCCAGATACTTGCTGCATCAAGACTCTATTGATCTAGGGATGTGTAGGAGGGTGGACAGATGGGAAAATTGTTGACACCAAGGGGTAAATGCAATCCCAGTGTTTGACAAAGACTAGTCCTGAGATATGCCCTTGAAGAGAGGGTTCCGTAGTCAAATTTGTTTGGGAAACATAGGCTGTTCTCCAAGTTCTTCTTGGAGATACACAGTGCACACTGGCATATTAAAGGCTCTGAAAAGTCCTGCAGTGAAGAAACTGGACAAGCTTAGCTTAACTCAGTGTTTCTCACACAATTGACCGCAAACCCTTGCTTTTACCCAGTGCCTAATCACATCCCTAGAAACACACTTTGGGGCATTCTGTGTTGTCCTGTTTGATTCATCTCCTCAAATATTAGACTTACCTCCGAATTACTTTGAGCCAGCAAATGCAACCTCAAAGATAAAGATTAGAAAAATATATCCTGAAGGGAGCTCCAAAGACAGTCCCCTGACCAGTGCTCCAGAAAAACCTTTGGAAACTGCAGCCTTTTTGAAATAAGTGTTCACTTCCTGGGAGAGTTCTTGGGAAGGGATCTCATTTATCTGGTTTCTTTGATGGAGATATCAGTTCAGGTATTTAAAAAAAAATGACTGTGTTTGTAATCACAGTCCATACCTGTAACATCCTCTGTCTTCTGGATCCTTGTTGAGTTTGAGTTACATAGGGTCAGGGCAAGGAGCTGTGGCTACAGAACATGATTTTGTCATGGTGGGTGGTCAAAACAAGTCAACCCTTTATGAATGGCAAACATGCCTATGTCAAGGTCATTGGGTTCATTGCCTCACATTCCCCAGAGCAATCACCAAGTTTCCTCCACTTGGTCCAAGAGCTGGTCCTGAACAATCAATGGAGGCTGGGAGTTCCCAGGAGTTACCCACGCCTACTGCTAGAAGACCTTACCTTGCTGGGGTCAGCCACGCTGATCAAGGCATCATATAGGTTCTCTAGCCTCTCCCAGTTCTTTCCACACAGCACCAGCCTTGCCCCACCTGTGTGGAACACCCGAGCACACTCTGTGGGGAAGAAGGAAACAGGGCAGGGCACACTGTGTGGATGGAGCCACTGACAGTGAACCCCCTCTCTTGGGAACTCATGAATTCAAAAAACTCAGAAGTCTTAGCACCACGAGGTCCTTTAGGGGTCACTTCATTGAACTCCCTCCCCGGGCTGGAATTTTTGTCATTTCCAGCCTCTGCTTAGTTGCTTCCGTGAAAGTGAGCTCATAGTGGAGTGAGACAACTCCTCCTTTGTTAGAAAGTTCTGATTATTGGAAATTCTTCCTTACACTGAACAGAAGGATGAACCTGCCCACCTGGTCCCCCAGGACCGCAGCCCTAGAGATATCTCAATCTAAAGATAATGGAGACAAACCACCATGTTTTTTCAAATCAAATGTCACCAGTTTCCTCCACATTTTCTCTGGGGATAGACACCTCAGCCAGGGTTCTTTTTATTTAAAAAGTAAACCTACTTTCTGTCTAATTAATTTTCCTCTGGACTGATTCCTGACTCACCCAATATAGCATTTTCTCAACTAAGTGTTACCTGGTAGACATACAGAATTCTTGTGTAGCAATACCGATGATACTTAAAAGCAATAGAAGCTCACAGATTTGGAGAGTTTGCTTGCTGTAGGAACTGTTGAAAGATATGTACATATCTCTTACATATCGCTCTAGTTCATTTAATACTCACAATAACCTTATGAGACAGTATCTTTAGGTTGGGTTCCTAGGAAGCAGACTCTGAGACAAGGATTCGGGTGGCCAGGATTTACTGAGGGCTTGCTCTTCAGAGACAGCCTATCGGGGAGTGAGGTCATGGAATAGGGGCCAGGAGAGGATGTGGTCTCAGGAAAGTCTAGCTTTGGTTTGATCCAGGAAAGACTCTGGAGTCTAAACTCCATTGCAGAGCTGGAGGCAAGAGGATCGGCCTTTGTACACCAGTGTCAATCAGTCACTGATGGGGCTGCCCTCTCTGGGGGTGCGTGCATAGGCTGTGTAACTCCTAGGTAGGGCAGCGTCCACTGGCAGAGGACAAGTCTTTGGGAAAGGAGGCATCTGCACGCCATTTGCAATCTGCATGCCATTTGCAGCCAACTCTTACAGTGCCTGGGAAATGGATGAACTGACCAAATACAGGGATCTGGAAGAGGCACCAACAGCACCTACTGCAGGGAAGAACCTATCATTGTCTCATTTACACCATGAAGTAGTGGACTCAGACTGGCTGGGAACACGGAAGGACAGCCTGGCAGCCTGGTGCCCAGTGGAGGCTGAATATCCCGAGTGTTGTGGCCTCCAAGTGAACTCAGGGTTGTGTGATTTTCTCCAGCAGAGCCAAGAAGCCTGCTGCAGGTGGAGAGAAGGGACCTGCTGCACAGGACAGTTGGCCAGGGTTTGGTAAGTGGGCATCATGGACAGGGAAACTGTGGTATTGGAGAGATGGAGGAATTGAGATGCTGGACTATGAAGTCTAAATCAGGTGGGAGCAGGAGTGAAGGCAGAAAAGGCCAAGAGAGGACCCAAGCAGAGAGTTGTGGGGATAAGAGGTCTCCATGAGGCCTTAAAACAGGTGTACTGGGCATCCTGAGAGAGCTGGGAGGAGGGCTCTAGGAGAGCTCAGTCTGCTGACAGAGGGAAACCCGAATCCAGAAGTAACTGGGTTAACAATGTCACCTTGAATTGTTACGGCTGCAGAGAGGGAAGATTCCTCTCAATGCAAGTGTTTTATTGAGAAAGAGGCTGTCCGTGATGAGTCTGGATGACAAAATTCAATAAAGATGTCAATTTGTCTCCAAGTTAAATTGATCCAGTAAATCAGGATCCCAACGGGTCTTGGGAAATGACAGAAAGATCCTACACTTTATATGGCATATTTTGCACACTTTAATTGGAATACTCAATATGAAGGAAAGCAAAGAACATGTTGAAAAACAGTTGTTAAAATATATTGTAAAACTACAGAAATTAAAGAGTTAGCAGTTCAAGTCTAGATAGAAATATTGATAATAAATAGAGTCAGGTATTGAGGAGAATTTAGTGTATGATAAAGTTAACATGTTGAGCCAACGGGAAAAGAATGTATTACGTAAAAAGTGGGAGCTGGGCGCGGTGGCTCATGCCTGTAATTCCAGCACTTTGGGAGGCCAAGGTGAGCAGATCACTTGAGGTCAGGAGTTGGAGACCAGCCTGGCCAACATGATGAAACCCCGTCTCTACTAAAAATTCAAAAATTTAATCCCAGCTGCTTGGGTGGCTGAGGAAGAAGAATCTCTTGAACTCAGGAGATGGAGACTGCAGTAAATTGAGATCATGCCACTGCACTCCAGCCTGGGCAACAGAGTGAGACTCTGTTTTTTTTTTGTTTTTTTGTTTTTTTTTTTAAAATGGTATTTGAATACCTATCTGGGAGGGAAAAAAAGCTGGATGCATTACACCAAAATATACTAAGTAGTGAAATATAAAAACATAACCAAAACAGAAATAGACGAAGATAGAGATGAATATATACCCTTGCATTGGGGAGGACTCCTGAGCATCCATTGAAAGAAAAAAAATCCTAATAGAAATGATTTATAGATTTTACCCTTTTAAAAAAAACCTTCTTGGCTGGGTGTGGTGGCTCACACCTGTAATCCCAGCACTTTGGTAGGCCAAGGCGGGCAGATCACGAGGTCAGGAGATCGAGAACATCCTGGCTAACACGGTGAAACCCCGTCTCTACTAAAACTACAAAAAATTAGCCAGGCATGGTGGTGGGTGCCTGTAGTCCCAGCTACTTGTGAGGCTGAGGCAGGTGAATGGCGTGAACCCAGGAGGCGGAGCTTGCAGTGAGCTGAGATTGCGCCACTGCACTCCAGCCTGGGGAACAGAGTGAGACTCCATCTCAAAAAAACAAAACAAAACAAAACAGAAAATCTTACAGCAAAACAAAAACGAAAACAAAAAACACCCATAAGTAAAGGACAAGACAAATTTAGAAAAAGTGTTTATAATCTATATGTCAGAAAAGGGTTAATTTGATATGTGAAGAACTCTTACAAATCAATTAGAAAAAAGATAAAGTTGCTAATAAAGAAATTGGTTAAGGAGATGAGTAAGCAACTCACAAAAGAAGTATCAAGATACAGAAGGTGAGTCAATACCAGTAATACATAAATGCAAACTAAAACATGGGGCTAATTTTAATCTATCAGATAATCAAAAACAAAATTGGAAATAGTCTTGGCCACATTCTTGGCCACTGTGAATAACAATTTTGAAGCCCTAACAACTGATGTTGCAGAAATTGGTCTATTGACATGGAACGAAGTTCGCAATAGAGTAAGTTTAAAAATAATTTTAAAAAAGATTCAAAACAGTGTGTTGAATACGATGCCATAACGCTGGGTTGTGTGTTTATGTATGTAATAGAATAGTAAATCTACATATCTATATGTAAAAATAGGTTACATTAGAAGTTTAACTGAGGCACTGAGATCAAATAGATATAAAGATATAAATTCCTAAGTTAGATGCCAGTCCAAGATGCTGACTTTCAAAGGAAATTTTAAAAACATGTCATATGAAGTTCAGTTCCCTTTACCCACAAATAGGACACAAATGAATCAAAGAAGAGGAGGAATAGCGGGGACTTCGAAGGAGGATCGCCTGGAAAGAATGTTAGGTGAGTTTTCGCCCATGGGCCCAGGCTGGGGCTGTTTTCCTTTGCCTCCATCCCAGAGTGAAGGGCACAGGAGGAATCAACAGAACAGCACAGTTCCCCGCAGCCAGGAGCCCAGCTTCATGTCTTATGGGCAAGATCCTGGGCTCAGCCAATGCCCTGAGGGCAGAGAAAAGGAAAACTGGGACCTCTTCATTGGGGGTGGCCTGCAGAGCCAAAGAAGTCACAGCCACCAATGGCCAAGGTAGGTCATGAGTTGGTTGAGAGCTCGTCTGAAGACTGCCCAAGAGGACCTCTCAGAAGGGCAGTGGAACTCCAAAGGACAGGGTTGGTGGGGAGTAGACTGCCCGGGAACCAGGGGCTAAGGAGGGATTGAGTGAGTGGAGAAAAAACCCACATCTCCCATTTCACAGAAATGAATAATCCTAGGGAGGCCTCTGAAAGGCACATGAAAGTGCCCACGAGAGAAAGATTCAGACCCAGTTTTAGACATGTGCCAGGCCCATGGACCTTGAAGCCATCTTATAGCACTGTCAGTTGGGTGAGAGTTTTTCTCGCTCTCCTATCTTGTCTCCTTCCAGTCCCTGAGGCCCTAGAAGCCTCAGAAACAGCAGGAAGCTTCCCTCCAACTTGCACTAGCTGTGGGGAGGAGCAGAGAGGGGGAAGAAAGTTCGAATTCAATGAAAATGGACATGTTATCAGGTATTAGACTGGGCATCCCAATTCCAGAATCAATGCTCTGTTTCGGGACCCACCGTGACGGAAGGATTTTGCATAATCTAATAGTAATCAGAGGCCGGGTGCGGTGGCTCACGCCTGTAATCCCAGCACTTTGGGAGGCCGAGGCGGGTGGATTACCTGAGGTCAGGAGTTTGAGACCACCCTGGCTAACATGGTGAAACCCCGTTTCTACTAAAAATACAAAAAAATATTAGCCGGGCATGGTGGCAGGTGCCTGTAATCCCAGCTACTCCGGAGGCTGAGGCAGGGGAATCGCTTGAACCCGGGAGGCTGAGGTTGCAGTGAGCTGAGATCGTGCCACTGCACTCCAGCTTGGGCAACAAGAGCAAAACTCCGTCTCAAATAATAATAATAATA
Source organism: Homo sapiens (assembly GCF_000001405.40). Classification (NCBI taxonomy): domain Eukaryota; kingdom Metazoa; phylum Chordata; class Mammalia; order Primates; family Hominidae; genus Homo; species Homo sapiens. The sequence goes on from NC_000017.11 coordinate 9,786,345, forward strand.
ATAATAATAATAATAATAATAATTAATCAGAAAAGTCAGGAACCGCCTGATTTTTTTTTCTCAAGCTGCAGAGGAAGGACTCTCCCCTCTGAATAAATTTGAGGTGTACTGTCTCACGACACCCTTGATTCATGCTCGCTCATGACTGGTTACTCACATAAGCATCCCCCTGAAAGGAAATGAAGGATGTGTTCACACAGGATGTCCCCAAGCACGTGGGGTTCTACGTGTGTTTTGTGTTCTTTTTACTTAAAAAAATTCTTTTAAATATACATGGCTTTTATAACAGAATTCACTAACAGAAACTTCCGTGGGCAGCAGAAAGTCTAGTCTTTCTGCATTTCAGCTGTCATTCTGGAGCAGAATGATGGTTGGATATTACAAATGAGAGAAGTGAGGTTCAGTGGGTTGAAATGAATCACCCGGAGTCCCACAGTTGGCCAGCAGGGAAGCCAGGATGTGAACCCCAGGAGTCTGACATCCAGATGGGGAGTAACGCATTCTCCACACTAGGCTCCTCTTGGCCAATGCCCACTGCTGAGAAAGGGACACGTTGAGGGTGCATTTTCACTCCTCGCTCCCTCCCTCTCTTGATGATGAGCATCTATTTTTTTTTTTGAGATGGAGTTTCATTCTTGTTGCCCAGGCTGGAGTGCAGTGGCGTGATCTCAGCTCACTGCAATCTCTGCCTCCCAGGTTCAAGTGATTCTCCCGCCTCAGCCTCCCAAGTAGCTGGGATTACAGGCGTCCACCATCATGCCCAGCTAATTTTTGTATTTTTAGTAGAGACGGGGTTTCACCATGTTGGCCAGGGTAGTCTCGTACTCCTGACCTCAGGTCATCCCCCTGCTTCGGTCTCCCAAAGTGCTGGGATTACAGGCATGAGCCACTGCACCTGGCCAGAGCATCTATTTGCAGCAGGGCACTGGAGCAGGTGAGGGGCCTGTGAGCAGGAGCCAGATCAAACCTCTGGCCTTGGCCTTGTTAGAACAGACAGCTAGGAGCATTCTTCCCCATCACTCCATTTCCCTTCGCCACTAACACCTTGCCTTGCCCAGGTGTGCCTGGGAGGCTGGAGCCCAGTGGCGTGCTCAGTGCCTCGGTGCTACTGCAGCCAAGCCTAGAGGTGCTGCTCCTGAAGAAGTCATTTCTGCTGAAACCAGGCCTTTGGTATACCCAGGTGTCCTTATTTCTATTCTTTTATCAGCTCAGCAGGTATCTCGCATCGAGCACTTTGGTACCAGGCTTTTCTTTTTCATTCAATAAGCATAAATTGAGCCCTTCTTTCTGTATTTCATCAATGTCAGATGCCATCGATGATGAGCTGTTGCCTGATTTCAGAGATAATAAATGACTTTTAATTTTAATTTTAATTTTTTTGGGGACAGGGTCTCACTCTGTCGCCCAGACTGGAGTGCAGTGGTGTGATTTCAGCTCCCTGCAACCTCCGCCTCCCGGGCTCAAACGATCCTCCCACCTCAGCCTCCTGAGTAGCTGGGAATGCAGGCATATGCCACCACACCTGGCTAAGTTTTACATTTTCTGTAGATATGCGGGGGTCTTACTATGTTGCCCAGGCTGGTCTCGAACTCCTGAGTTCAAGCGATTCACCTACCTCGGCCTCCCAAAAGTGTTGGGATTACAGGCGTGAGCCACAGCGACATTTTAAAGGGTGGCCTATGGGGATTGTAAGATGCTATGGATGGAAAGACAATCAGTCTGATTTCAGAAATGTTTAAAGGACAGAAACTGCACCTTTGAGGTGATAACACACAGGCAGGGCTGACATTCAGCTGTATCCTCTGAAGCAGCTCAACTGCAGGGGTTGGCTATTCCGATAGCCATTCTTTTTTTAAAATAAATAAATAAATTAATTTTTTGAGATGGATTCTCACTCTGCCACCCAGGCTGGAGTGCAGTGGCATGATCTCGGCTCACTGCAACTTCCGCCTTTTGGGTTCAAGCAATCCTCCTGCCTCAGCCTCCCAAGTAGCTGGGATTATAGGCAAGAGCCCCCACCCCCAGCTAATTTTTGTATTTTCAGTAGAGACGGGGTTTTACCATGTTGGCCAGGCTGGTCTCGAACTCCTGACCTCAAGTGATCCACCCGCCTCAGCCTCCCAAAGTGCTGGGATTACAGGCGTGAGCCACCGTGCCTGGCCTTGATTGTCACTCTTGCTGCAGACACAGTGGGTACAAGGTGACAGGATTCCCCGCTTGGCCAAATCCAGGAGGTTTAGAGCGAGGGCTAGATGCCCCAGTCTTTGTCTGTCTGTTTGATTTCCCTAGTAAACAACTTGGTGTGGCAATCCCTGCTGCTCCCGATGGCACCCATGGGGTTCGTGCAGGTTCCGTGGCACCAGGGTGTGCAGCGGCTGTGCACAGCCTGCATCATCCACTCAGTGCCCTGGACTTAAGACATGCAGCAATGGGAGCCTGGAATCACTGCCGTCAGCAGCGTGGAGAGCTAGGCATTTATTTAAGGTCACACACATCCAGCATCTCAAGTTACTGCTAAGTACCGGGACTTTATTTTTTTCTTCTTTGCATTTCTTTCCAGGGTGGGTCAATGAGATATAGTAAAAAAAGAACAGTGACAGTAGACACGACAAGCTAGGCCATGAGGTCCTGCAAAGGCTGTTTCCCTCATGAGATGTATTTCCTGGGTGCCTGATTTGATCACGTGTGACTACAACTGAATGAGGTGTTTTAAAAATGAATGAGATGATTAAAACAAACACACATCTCTCAACGATCAGTAAAACTGTATTTCTACCTAATAAGACACAAAACTAGCAAGGCTACGGAAGAACTGAGCAACCTCCCCAACAAACAGGATCGAATCCACATTTGTAGGACAACGGCAGAACGTACATTCTTGTCAAGCACTCGCAGAACCCATATCGAGATAGGTCATAAGACAAACCTCAGCACATTTAAAAGAATCGAAATCATACAGAGCGTATTCTCCAACCATGTTGGAATCAAGCTGGAAAGCAATAAAACAAATTTGCAAGAACACACTTATCCAAATGAGGGCCTTCCCTGATCACATGTCACTTTTAGAGGTTATTCATTAAATACACATTTTCTGAGGATGTCAACCAAGCATTGAGCTAGGTGCTGAGGCTGCCTGGGTGAACAAAACACAGGCTCCAGCACCAGGAAGCCTGTATCTAGTGGACCCACTGAGAAACACACAGATACAGCATGAGAAATACACTAATGTGGTGTGCACTTACAAGGGGCCAGTTAAGAAGCTGGTCCACAAGGACCATTCAAGAGGAAGGAGCAATTAAGGTGTCAGGACAGGCTCCAGGGTAGAGGCCGTATCAGGGATCGCATGTTAGCAGCCTGGTGCAATGCCAGACAAAGGTGCGCTATTTGGAGAGCAAATTTTTCGCAAAGCCTTCTGTTCTGAATAGCTTTAGGTGGGCATCTCTTTTCCAGCTCTCCAGGGCGGCACACTCCCTGTTGTCTTTTGTCTGGTCTGATTGACAGATGTGTGTGCCCTGGCTTGCCCTTGAAGAAGGAGTTTGAGTTTGTGTACCTCGCTCCCTTTTGATACAGGATATCCTCTCTGGGAATTGTGTGTGAGACTCATCTAGGGGCCACTTAGAGAGCCTAGTCTATCTGCCTTATGCTTTGTTTTTTATCTTAACAAGATGCACCTGGGTCGATCACCCACTGAAAACTAAGCCATCCTCAAAGCGTGCAGATTGGCTCCCATTGGGATGCCGAAGAGGCTAAGCAGCAGGCTCTGAGAAAATTCTCAGGGAGGTTACAAACGTTCTCACGATGGCAGCACTATGAGAGTAAGTGCCCAGCCCCCCAGAGGGACTCTCGGGGCAATGCTCAGGACATAGTGGACTCAGTGGACACTTACTGAGTTACTAATGAATGTTTGGCTGTGTGGGATCTATGCTCTATTAAAAATAATAAAAACAACAGCAAAAGTTGCACTAACTATGTAACATATAAAGTTGTACTACCATTGTCTGGAAGGATAGAGTCAGAATCTTGCAAACTTAAGGACAATTACGGCCCCTCATGTCATAGATGTCACCAGCAGAAGGGCCTCTCTGAGGTGATATAATTCAGGAGTTGCAAATGCAAATGCCTTCAATGCCAGAAAGTGTAATGATTGAAAGAATCAGGCCAAGTGTGATGCAATAGGGATGGGTGGGGTGTGTGGCCCACTAGCGTGGGCATGTTTTGCCTATATGTGTTCATGATCATCATTACTAACCCTTGAGTGATATCCACTGTAGCTCCAGGTACTGTTCTAAGTGCTATCCATCTATGAACTCGTTTATTCCTCACAATGGCAGCATGAGGTAGAGACTGCTGTTATCCTCGCCTTACAGATGAGAAGTTTAAGGCAGAGAAGTGAAGTAACCAGCTAGTCATTGCTGGAGCCAGGAACTGAACCCAGCTCCTGAGTCTGGGCTCACAACCAGTACATTGCCCCAGCTAAAGGCTTTGAATTTTCAAAATTTCTGGAAACCCCATGAAGCCAAAACAAATCACATCTGCAGACCAGTTTTAGCCCTTAGGCTGTGAGTTTGCAACCCTAGATATTCCACCACCCTCATTTATCAGGAATCTGCAGCCTCCAAAAGATGGGAAACTTGCTGGTTAATGATAGAAGCTGGGAGAGAACACAGGATCGATCCCCTCCCACCGAGCAGGTTTGCCCACACAGCGCCCTGCCGCCCTGCCACCCTGCCATCCTGCCAGTCCCTGGGGGCAGAAATGGGCACAGGTGGGAGCAAAGCCAGCTTACCCTTGCCCAGTCCTGAGATGGCATCGGTGATCACCACCACTTTGTTCTGCACAGCTGACTTTGACCACAGCCTGGACACCTCTTGGTAAATGAAGAGGAGGCCGCTGATTCCCAGCAGCAGCAGGGGGAGCATCAGCATGGCCATGACTCCCATCTTGTTCTGGGGGACAACGGAGTAAAAGGGGATTGGCTTTGCAAAGAGACGCTGATCAGGACTCCCAGGGCAGGGGGAGGCCCAAGGCTGCAGGGAGCTCAGCTCTGTGCAAGCCTCCAAGCTGAACACCCAGTGGGCGTGCTAATCCCCAAATGTTCAACAAATAGGAAGTTACTCACAGTGTCTCCGAAAGCAGACCGAATCCAGGGGGCCTGCCCTCCCCAGTGGTTAATTACAAACTTAATTAAAATGGGTCTGCATTTTTGGAAGAAAATCCATGTGTTAAGGCCACTTGCTTGGGCCCTAATGGTTATTTATAGCTTTCAGTTGCACTAAAAGGCTGTCAGGGTAAATATAGTGTCTATTCTGATATTCAGGAACACATGCTGGCCGGGTCTGATTTCAGGGCTCTTGCCAAAGCTCTCCTGGCTTGCCTGAGTATTAGAGGTTTCCTCTGCAGTTTGGGACTGAGCACGAGGGATCCAAACCTGGGATTTTCAGCACAAACATCCTTGCCCTCACTTCCGGTAACCCTCGTAATCAGGTAGCTTCCAGGTAGTTTGGATGCATGTGGCAGAAGACCATCTGGCCTTTGCTTTCTAATTGGAGATGAAAAGCATAGAAAACTGCTAAACAGAATGAAGCCTTTTGCAGAAAGAGCCACTGGGAGGTGTGACAGGAAATATCAGAAAGAGCACACTCTTGAGAGTGTTTCTCACCTCTCTGAGCCTTAGCTTCCCTGTCTGTAAAATGGGCAGGACCAATGGGAGGACAAACCATACTGCACAGTGTGGGCCTAGCATAGATCCCGGGCCGTAGGAAGGTAACTACTGTTATCTTTAGCGGTTGAGGATACTAAGAATTTATCCCAAATGTGAAATATTTTCATTACATAAGGAAACTCAGTAGGATTAGAACTGGAGAGACAGAAACCCAGTTCAAGTACTGGAGCCATCCCAAACCAGAAGGCCAATCACAATCAGGTCCTAATTTGTGCGGTAAACAGCATTGAGCCAATCAGGAGTAGGACTAAGAGCAGTGTGTGTGCATGTGTGTGTGTGCGCGCATGTGTGTGTGTGCATGTGTGTGTGCGTGTGTGCGTGCGTGTGTGTGTGCGCACCTGTGTGTGTGCACGTGTGTGTGTGTGTGTGTGTGCGTATGTGGGGGGGGTAAAGAAGACTGTATTTCTTTCTTGGAAATTAGAAATAACCAGGAAGATTAAAAAAGTCCCAGAATTTTATTGACACTTAATGTACATATTAGAAACACACACGTAAATGTAGAGCTTGATGAATCTTCATAGACTGAATATATTCACGTGACCAGCATGCAGATCAAGAAACAGAACATTGCCAACATGCCTCATCATGTCTCTCTCCAGCCCTGAGGGTAGCTACTTCCTAACTTTTAAAAGCGTATATACAGTTTTACCTGTATGTGTATTTTCTTTGCTCAAACAACCTCTTGTGTAAAGTTTTTCTTTTTTTTTTTTTTTTTGAGACAGTCTTGCTCTGTCACTAGGCTGAGGTGCAGTGGCACGATCTCGGCTCACCGCAACCTCCACCTCCTGGGTTCAAGCAATTCCCCTGCCTCAGCCGCGCCGAGTACCTGGGACTACAAGCCCCCACCACCACGCCCGGCTAATTTTTGTATTTTAGTAGAGACGAGGTTTCACCATATTGGCCAGGATGGTCTCAATCTCCTGACCTTGTGATCCGGCCACCTCGGCCTCCCAAAGTGCTGGAATTATAGGCATGAGCCACCGTGCCTGGCCAAGTTTTTTTTAAATAAATTATTATCTGTGTTCAATGCTGCTGATTGGTCAAGTAACGTAGGGTCTGAGAAGTGCCTGTCAGCTTTAGTGATGTGGAGTCATTGGTGACATTGACGGGCACCTCTGTGTGAAGACTATTGTGTGGTTTCTGCTCTCCCTCAGACTTACTGTCAGTGGCTCTGTCATGAGCCAACCCTGCAAGATGGTTCCTGACTCATCCAAACCCCCGGGACTTGATGCTTTGAAAGCATCTGCCTACCTGGCTATTTGGATGATGGTCTCGACAAGCCTAAAAGATGCTCCAAGTTTTTAGCCTACAAGTTCCTCAGAACTTGGTTGAATAACACTAGACAACTTCGATTTTGCCTCATGTCCCTGATGATGGAGAAGAGGCAGGACAGGATGGTGGGTTCTTTGTCATGGAATTATGTTTGAATTTGGACAAAGTTCCCTGGGAGCTTTAGTTGAACTAATGAAAACTCAGATCTACTCAGGGGCATGGGGCTTCAGATTTTTCTTTTTTTTCAATTTAATTGCCACAGGGCAGATAAGGAATATTCCAACCAAAACATACTTTGTCGTCCACAAAGAGATTCTTTCTCCAAACACCTGTCTGCTTTACTATTCTATGTAGGAAAGAATCCTGAAGTTTTGCCTAACTCTGAAATTATGGTATTTTCTTTCTTCTTTTCTTTCCTTTCTTTGCTTTCTTCCTTCCCTTCCTTTCTCTCTTTCTTTTTACTTTTCTTTTCTTTTTTTTTTTTTTTTTTGAGATGGAGTTTCACTCTCATTGCCCAGGCTAGAGTGCAGTGGTGCGATCTCGGCTCACTGCAACCTCCGCCTCCTGGGTTCAAACGATTCTCTTGCCTCAGCCTCCCGAGTAGCTGGGATTACAGGCTCCCCCCACCACGCCCGGCTAATTTTTGTATTTTTAGTAGAGACGGGGGTTTCACCATCTTGGCCAGGCTGGTCTTGAACTCTTGACGTCATGATCCACCCACCTCGGTCTCCCAAAGTGCTGGGATTACAGGTGTGAACCACTGTGCCCGGCCAAATTACAGTATTTTCTAATTCAAGAATTGAGAGCTAAGACTGACCAGGATGAATGCATATTTGGAGTTGGAGGCCATCCTGGAAACCCTGGGATGTGAAAGCTGAGCTCTAGATCAGAGTTAGTCCCAGCCCATCTTCTCCTCTGGGGCCTCTTCAATCTCCTTGGTCCCAAGCAGAACCACTCCTAGCTTCAAATTGCAGATCTTGAAGGCTCGGCACCTGCTCATCTCTGCATCAGAGAAAAATCCACCCTCAATGGACTCCTTCCAGCTTTCCTTCTCCCCATAAAATGCCCCAGGCCCCTGCCCTGTGACAGCTTCACCTAGGGAGGAGAGGGGGGAAAGATTTGTTCTCCCACTCTGACAAATGTGGCTGTGTCATGAGCCAACCCTGAAAGGTGGTTCCTGACCCACTCAAACTCCCTAGACTTTATGACCCACCCAAATTCCCTAGACTTTATGCTTTGAAAGTCTGGAGTTGGATGGCCCTGATTCTGAATCTCAGTGCTGCTTCTGACTTGTGTGTGGCCTCAGGCATGCACCTAAACCTTCTGAATCTGATGGCCATTGAATGGAAGTGGGAACACTCATATTATTACACTCCTCACACCACTGTGTAGAATTAGAATGTAACAGGTGATGTGTACATCACCTTGCGTAGGCCTGGCCCATTGCTGGGGCTGATAGCTTCTGTTTCTCCTTTCTTCCTGGCCCTTTTATTCCTAGTCTGTGTTGGTTCTCCTCATTGCCTTTCCTTATTGAAAGTCAAGCTCCACTCCTGAGGACACTGGACAGGTTTGGGGAAGGATTGGTCAAGAGTTTTGGAGGCTACTCTCACGGAATATAGAAAAATGACATCACTGTACCATCCCCTGGGGGCCTTCGAGGTGCAGTAATATTCCTGGAACTCGTAGGTAAAGGATGCAAGGACTAAACAAGGTAATGTGTGCACATGGTTTTTCTTCTTTCAGAGACAGGGTCTCACTCTGTGCCTAGGCTAGAGTGCAGTGGTACAATCATAGCTCACTGCAGCCTCGACTTCATGGACTTAAGCGATCCTCCCACCTCAGCCTCCAGAGTAGCTGAGACTACAGGGATACCACCACACCTGGCTGCTGATTTTATTTTATTTTATGAGATGGCATCTCACTCTGTGGCCCAGGCTGGGGTGCAATGGCACGATCTTGGCTCACTGCAACCTCCTCCTCCCAGGTTCAAGTGATTCTCCTGCCTCAGCCTCCTGAGTAGCTGGGATTGCACACACGCGCCACCATGACTGGCTAACCTTTGTGTTTTTTATTTTTTATTATTTTTTATTTTTTAGTAGACATGGAGTTTTACCACGTTGGGCAGGCTGGTCTTGAACTCCTGACCTCAAATGATCCATTTGCCTCGGCCTCCCAAAGTGCTGGGATTAGAGGTATAAGCCACAGCGCCTGGCCCCTGGTGTTTTTATTTTTATTTTTTGTAGATACAATGTTTTGCATTGTTGCCCAGGCTGGTCTGGAGCTCCTGGGCTCAAGGGATCCTCCTACCTCAGCCTCTTAAAGCACTCAGATTACAGACAGATATGAGCCACCGTGCCCGACCCTACACATGCTTTTATAAACAGTAAATCGTTGGGTCAGTATCATCCCTTGTCTCCACCCTGCATGTTCCCCAGGTGAAATGCAGGTCCTGTTAGCGGTGTCTTCTTTCCATCAGGACCAGCACTTGCTTTGCTGCATGAAGCTGCTTCTACTCCTTACCTCCTTTTGGAAGAGTGGGCGCTCTCCATCTTTGAGGGTGTTTGTGTATAGGTGGCAGGGGGCTTGTAGAGGAGGAAGTGAGGATGACATGAGATGGTGGGTTGTTGGACTAGCCTGACTTCTTAAAAACATGTCTGAGGGCCAGGAGCAGTGGCTCACGCTTGTAATCCTGGCACTTTGGGAGGCTGAGGTGGGCAGATCACGAGGTCAGGAGATCGAGACCATCCTGGCTAAAATGGTGAAACCCCGTCTCTACTAAAAATACAAAAAATTAGCCAGATGTGGTGGCACGCGCCTGCAGTTCCAGCTACTCGGGGGGCTGAGGCAGGAGAATCATTTGAACCCGGGAGGTGGAGGTTGCAGTGAGCTGAGATCGCGCCACTGCTCTCCAGCCTGGGTGACAGAGCAAGAATCCGTCTCAAAAAAAAATATGTGTCTGATGTGTCTGAGATATTATTTAGCCTTAAAAAGAAGGAGATTCTGACACACACACTACAGCATGGATGAACCTTGAGGACATTATGCTGAGTGAAATAAGCCAGCCACAAAAAGACAAGCACTCTATGATTCTACTTCTGCGAGGTACCCAGAGTAGTCACAACCATAGAGACAGAAAGTAGAATGGTGGGTGCCAGGTGCTGAAGGAAGGAAGGATGTGAAGTTCGTATGGAGTTTCAGTTTTGCAAGATGAGAAGTTTTGTGGATGGATGATGGTGATAGTTACACAAAAATGATTAAGGTGGTAAATTTTATGTTTTGTGTATTTTACTACAATTACAAAAATGGAAAAGACGGTCTTACCTCCTTTGAAGAGACAATCCCGGTATAAGACGATGCCGTCCACGTGATTCAAATTGAAATCATACAAGACAACTTCGTATGTAGTTTATGGCTACATCTACATTTAACAAATATGTACAACTATGCAAAGGAATGGTGCACACAATTCCTGGATGGTGGCTACTTCCTGGAATAGAGTGAGGAGGAAGGGACGGTGAGGAGGACTTATGTGAGGCATTAGTGGTATTTCATACATTTCACTCCTTTTCTTTTTTTCTTATTTATTTATTTATCTATTTATTTATTTTACTTTAAGTTCTGGGATACATGTGCGGAATGTGCAGGTTTGTTACATAGGTATATATACATGTGCCATGGTGGTTTGCTGCACCTACCAACCCATCATCTAGGTTTTAAGCCCCTCATGCATTAGGTATTTTTCCTAATGCTCTCCCTCTCCTTGCCCTCCACCCTGCGACTGGCCCTGGTGTGTGATGTTCCCCTCCCTGTGTCCATGTGTTCTCATTGTTCAACTCCCTATTTTTTGTAGAGAGGGGGGTCTCCCTGTGTTGCCCAGGCTGGTCGTGAACTCCTGGGTTCAAGGCATTCTCCCACTGCATCCTCCCAAAATGCTGGGATTATAGGCGTGAGCCACTGCACCTGGTCTCTTTTCTTTTTAAAAAGAGAGATCTGTGGCAACGATGACAGTATTTACTTCTGTCATAGTTTCCTTATATTAAATAGTTTTCTATATATTGAAATATTTCATAATTGAAAAGAAAACTTAAAATAGAGAGAGAAAATTAGAAACAGATGGATCCTGGCATTCTTCCTACTTACCTGTCCTCCCAAATGCTCATGTTTTTAAATTGCTCTTTTTTTTTTTTCGAGACAGAGTCTCGCTCTATTGCCCAGGTTGGAGTGCAGTGGCACGATCTCAGCTCACTGCAACCTCCGCTTGCCGGGTTCAAGTGATTCTCCTGCCTCAGCCTCCTGAGTAGCTGGGACTATGGGCGCGTGCCACCATGCTCGGCTAATGTTTGTATTTTTAGTAGAGACTGGGTTTCACCATGTTGGCCAGGCTGGTCTTAAACTCCTGACCTCAGGTGTTCTGCCTGCCTCAGCCTCCAAAAGTGCTGGGATTATAGGCATGGGCCACCACGCCTAGCTAATTTTTGTATTTTTAGTAGAGATGGGGTTTCACCAAGTTGATCAGTCAAATTGCTCTTTTTCTTTTCTCCCAAATTTTCATTGTGCAGATGTTGTCTCGCTCTTGTGTCATGTGGCAACTCAAAAAAACCTGAGTTCCTCATGCCCCACTTTTATATTCTGTCTTTCAGATGCAATGCAGACTTAACACGAGTAACTGGCGATATTGGTCAGCATCTACATGATTGAAATGTCCTTTAACCTTCAGATAATTTAGCAATTTTCTGATCTTCCCACAACCCTCCACCTCACCCCACCTGCCACACAACACTAACTTGTTTCTATAGCTGACCCCTTGAGGGCAGGGCAGAGCCTTGTATCTCCCATGCCTCCCGCACCATGCTTTATATACACATATTCTTCAGAGACGTTTAATGAGTCAAAAATATTTACATGAGCAAACCTAATTCCTGTCTCATTAAATAGGCCAACTGATGTTTTCCTGGTCTTCAGAGAAGTCCCTATCAGCCCAGATGGTTCCAAGAGGGTTCACCAGAAAGGCAGTTAAGCTGTCAGTGTCATGCAGACTCTGAGCCAGTCTAATAAGTTTAGGGCTGAATTCACGAATTCTGGAAAAATAGTTGGCTTCCTGGAGTCAGACTACCGCATTCTCAGTTCTTCCTCTGTAAACACCTTGTTCAATTCCTGCCCAGCCACCTTGAGTCAGCGGCCATCTTTCTTTGCTGCCTCGTAAGAGGGAACATGGACTCTTGCTCCTGAGTTCCCCAAACCTGGCTGGGGAAGATCTCTCAGGACCAGCGCTGGCTCCATTTAATGATGGGTTTGTTGTTTAGAACAATGGACCCCCAGGAGACTGCCTTGTCTGTGGGCGTATTAAGTAGACAGTAGACCCGGACAACTGACCTCAACGGGCATTCTCTTTCCCAGAAATGAAAGGAGTTTTGATTCCTTCCTTCCAGGAGAAATGGCACAGTTCCCAGAACATTGTAAACACCTGATAAAATTCACTGGCTGATTATCTAAGGACTGATGACTTTCAGGCTAAAAATGATTGGCGGGTTTGCACTCACTTGATCCTGCCTTTCTCTCAGACACGGTCACTGAACCTTTCACCAGTGCTTCCCCAACTCATTGACAAAGACTCATCTCCGCAGCGTCTCTTTGTCACCCACAGGACCTAACAGGGCTTGCACTCGGCAGATGCTAGCAGCGAATCTTTCCATTGTACTAAGTGCCAGGCGTGGTTCTCAGATCTTCACATACACTAACACACTTAGTCCTCACAGCTCTCAAAATAGGAGGGCCAGGTGGGGTGGCTTACACCTGTAATTCCAGCACTTTGGGAGGCTGAGGCAGGCAGATCACCTGAGGTCAGGAGTTCAAGACAAGCCTGGCCAACATGGTGAAACCCCATTTTTACTAAAAATACAAAAATTAGCCGGATGTGGTGGCAGGCACCTGTAATCCTAGCTACTCAGGAGGCTGAGGCAGGAGAATCACTTGAACCTGGGAGATGGAGGTTGCGGTGAGCCGAGGTCGCACCACTGCACTCCAGCCTGGGCAACAGAGTGAGACTCCGTCTCAGAAAAACAAAAAAAAAAAAAATAGGAGGATTGTTTTTACAGGTAACAAAACTGAGGTGTAGAGAGATTCAGTGGCTTGCTCAAGGTCAAAGTGAGGAACCAGGATGTATATGCAGATTGTCTGACTCTAGAGTCCATGCTCTCAATCATGAGCTATATTACTTCCCATAGAAAGCTAAAAAGGAGTCTATTTGACAGTGTCTGTGTGTGTGTGTGTGTGTATACACACATGCATATTCATATGTTTACATATACATATATACAAATATAACATTTTCCATTTGCCAACCGTTGTTCTAGATGCTGAGGGTACAGCGAACAGTTCTTGCATAGAAAAATGTAGCATGTATGAGGGGGAGAAAGATGAAAAGAGATGACTTCATTATACCAAATGAAGATCCAACTGGGTGTGTATTGCAGCAAAGATAGATGAAATGAGGCGCCTTGCTTCTGTTTCTTGAGGTGGAGCACGGATACCTGGGCGTGTTCACTTTCTAAACATTTATGAAGCTGTACATTTGTGATTTGTGTACTTTTCTCTCCGTGTGTTATACTTCGATAAAATTGACATTTAAAACATTTATAAGGAAGCAAAGTGCCTTGTGAGCTCAGAGGATATAGCAAGGAATGGTTTTTGACTTGAGCCTCAGTGACCAGTTGCCTTCTGTCCTGCCTTGGTGTCTGACTGACCACTGGCTTTCTTCTCCAGAGGCCAAGTGTATCATCTGATGATGCCAGCTGCCCTCACATGGCTCCAAAAATTCCTTCTTTCTTTCCTTCCTTCCTTCCTTCCTTCCTCTCTCCCTCTCTTTTTTTTTTTTTTCAGAGTTTTCCTTTTGTTGCCTAGGCTAGAGTGCAGGGGCGCGATCTCGACTCAATGCAACCTCCGCCTCCCGGGGGTTTAACTGATTCTCCTGCCTCAGCCTCCCGAGTAGCTGGAATTACAGGCATCTGCCACCACACCTGGCTGATTTTTTGTATTTTTAGTAGAGATGGGGTTTCACCATGTTGGCCAGGCTGGTCTCGAACTCCTGACCTCGAGTGATCCACCTGCCTGGGCCTCCCAAAGTGCTGCGACTACAGGTGTGAGCCACCACGCCCAGCAAAAAATTTATTTCTTTACCCATGTAACAAACCTGCACATGTACCCCCACTCTGAACCTAAAATAAAAATTGATAAAGAAAATAAATAAATAAAAATAAAAACTTGTCCAAATAGTTTTTAAAAGTTTATTTCTTCTTTGGCATCCTCAGCCACAGTGTTCACAGGTGTTTTTCACAACAGCGAATTCAGCGAAGTCTCTCTCCAGTGTATTTCATTCCCTGTAAGATGAGACTTTGACCTGATATCGTGACAGTCACACAGGACCTGCCTACATGAATACATAGGGATGAAAAACCATATGAAAGAACCTGCACACTGCAAAGGGCAGAGGCTTGTGGGTACAAACTCTCCTGCTCTAGGTGAGCACATGGCCCAGGGAACCCCAGCAGACATTCTCTGGGTTGGGCTTATTCCAGCAAGAATCCATTGTCTATCTCTCATATATGCTTAGCGCAATGAAACACAAAATTCCACAGAAGCAGCATTTGTCAGGCAGGTGCTCACCTTGAGCCACAAACACGAAGGTAGCTGGATTTTTTTTTTCATTTTTTTTATGACAGTATAAGTGTTACAGTTCAGCATAAACAGATTTTTATTGGATTTTTTTCCCAGAAATGATATGTTTACAAAACACGTGAATATAATTTTTAAAATGGATCTGAGCAAGGACATATTGAAGGTTGTTAGAGTTTGCAGTCCCTTTCTTTTCTTTTTCTTTTTCTTTTTTTTGAGACAGGGTCTCACTCTATTGCCCAGGCTGGAGTGCAATGGCGCGATCTCTGCTCACTGCAACCTCCACCTCCCAGGTTCAAGCGATTTCCCTGCCTCAGCCTCCTGAGTAGCTGGGATTACAGACATGTGCCACCATGCTTGGCTATTTTTGATGTTTTTTTTTTTTTAGTAGAGACAGGGTTTCACCATGTTGGCCAGGCTGGTCTCGAACTCCTGACCTCAAGTGATCTGTCTACCTCGGCCTCACAAAGTGCTGGGATTACAGGCGTGAGCCACTACACCCACCCCCTTTCTTTTTTCAAAAAATCAAATTATGTGTGGAACAACCTGTGGCCTGAATAACATGGTAGCTGGACATGGGATGAATTGATACAATATTGCAGATGACTGTATTAGGAATCCTGCAGCCCACCACTGCCTCCAACAAGACCTGCATGTTTGGTAATGTTTATTTTTAGAAGCAAAAGTGGCTGGCGATTTAATTTAAGCAGAACAACTCAAACATGTGTTCCACTTAAACTAAGATAAGATGTCATTCCATTTGACTGTGTTTTCATTTCTATCATTCGACTGTCCTTCCAAACTGATTTTACTATGAGTAGAAACACAAAATTTCCAAGAAAAAATATTTTAAAAAATAACAGGAAACATATTTTGAAATTTCTGTCTTCTTGATTCAAATGAAAAAGAAAGTATGACATAGCCACACATACTTTATTGTGTGTGTCAATTAGGAGAAAACATTTTCTGGATTTTTCTGTCAACAAACCTATGCGGACAACACATTTTGCCTCCCTTGTAGTTAAAAAGACTTGCTTTCCTCTTTCTTCAACTTCTCTTCCCTTAGTACTGGCATCCTCCCTGTTTCTTTGGTATCCTTATCAAATTCACTGTCATTAAGAAGCTCTCTTTTATACTAGAGTGTCAATGGTTGATATCTTCAGTAAGCATTATCTCACTTCAAGGTACTGGCATTTTAACAGGAATCAAAGGCTAAAGCCAAAGGTGTTTAGTAAAAGGTGAGATGTGGAGGGGTGGGGATGGAAGCTTTCCCTGGACAACAATCTCCTGAAGTCCAACCCAGAGGCAGGGTGTACATTGTGAGTGTCAGTGCCTGGCTTGTTTGCCTGTGCGGATGTGGCAGCCATGGACACTGGCTAGCATATGGACACCTTGCCTGGGGCGCCTGGTGGGAGGTGTCCAGAAACATTCCTGAAGGCTTGTTCAGCAGGGCAAGGAGCAGCTCCTGTTTTCCAAATGCTCTCCGAAGCCTCGGGTTCCAGGAAGCTGTGTTGAGAGTGCCGACTGCCGTTCTGTGCCTGCTGCTTCTCGGTGAATTCCAGGCGGGCTGCCGTGAACCTGCTCATGGCCGAGACCGACACAGCCAGGCAGAGGGCGAAAGAACCCCAGGCAAGGCTGTCAACAGAAGGCACCGTTAGGAAAGGGCTGAGGGCTGTGATTCCAGGACTTCCTGTTTTCTCCAGACTGGGGGTCAATCTGGAGAAAACAACAGCTCCTCGTTCTACTCAGTTTGGACCTGCATTTTGGATCACAAATCCCAGAGTCTAGTCAACGTACTGTTTAGCCCAAGGGTTAAGAGAATGGATTCTGGAGTCACTGTGCTGGCTTTGCATCGTGGCCCCACCTTGTATTAACCATGTGACCTTGAGCTGGTTGCTTTACCTCTTTGAATCAGTTCCCTCATCTGCAAAGCTGGAATAATATTAATGCTGCCACCAGGGTGGCTGTGAGGAATTCAGTGAGTGAATGCGTGGGAAGTATTAATACTTAGTATAGCATCTGCTGCATAGAAGTTTCCAGATTATTGCTGTTGTTGGCTGTAACCCAGGACAGTGGCATTGGTGTCATTACTTTTTTTTTTTTTTTTTTTTTGAGACAGAGTCCCTCTCTGTCGCCCAGGCTGGAGTGCAATGGCATGATCTTGGCTCACTGCAACCTCTGCCTCCCGGTTCAAGCAATTCCCCTGCCTCAGCCTCCCAAGTAGCCGGGACCACAGGCATGCGCCACCACACCCGGCTAATTTTTGTATTTTTAGTAGAGACAGGGCTTCACCATGTTGGCCAGGCCGGTCTTGACCTCCCGACCTCAGGTGATCCGCCCGCCTTGGCCTCCCACAGTGCTGGGATCACAGACATGAGCCACCGCGCCCGACCAGCATCATTATTCTTATATCCCCATCCAGGCTGTAAGCCTGTTGCATACTGAGATGATGGGCTACACTTTTCATCCTTCAAAGAACCCAGCACTGTGTTGGGAACATGGTAATTAGCATCTGCTTTATACCAAAGGGTGTTCAAATGTTTGCATTATTATGAGATAAAGAGAAGGGCTGTGTGGTGGACAAAGAACAACCTAGAGAAGAAAAGCAAAATGTAGGGCTAACCAGAGACACTTCCCAATGGATAATAATAAGATTAACAATAATAAACAGTCTTGTATGTATGCCAGGTGCTGTGATGGGCACCAGATTATCTAACTGAACACCTCACGGCGACCCCCTGATGGAGGCACTATAATTATCTCCATTTTACAGATGAGGAAACTGAGACACAGAAGTTAAGCAACTTGTCCACGACTACCATTTAGAAAGTGGGACATCCTGGATGCGGCTGCAAACCCTGTGAGTCCAGATACTGCTGGCTGACTTGCGAGACTTTGCTGCCTCCTGATGCTGTGGACTCGGTTAACCAAGGACACATGTCAAGGTTCTGGTTTGGGCCTGGTCTTGCTTCGTGTTTTCATTAAGTAGGTGATTATTTTGGTTTAAATGAGGGCAGAAACTCATTGCATCTCTCCACACCCCCACTGAAACGAGAGTAAAGGGATGTGTACTAGTGTGAACACACAAGGACAAGGAGAATTGGAGAGGAGACATGAGAGTACGGAAACGGCTGGGAGAGGGATGACTAATTTATGGAGTGAGGGATGCGACACAGAAAGTGTCTGCAATGAGGGCCACCCACAAGACAAGAAGGATGCCTGTTATATCAGCACTGCTGAATCCTTGAGAGGTGCAGAACCTTGAGGCACAAATACGGCACAAAAAATGCAGCCCTTTCCCCAGTCTCCTCCTTACCACAAACACTCCATCCCACCTCCCTTTCCCCCAGAAAAGCAAAGTTTTATTCTCTGGAGAAGGTGAACGGAAGGAAAGGCTCCGGATTCAGAGACAGCAGGCCCATTGGAAGGCAGGGAAGGGGGCTGGTCTGAAAATGGGATTGTATGGAAATCTGCACAGGAGTGGGAAGCTGTCCAGCCCTTTCCTATGCCTAACCTCAGAAATTATCAGCCAGGCATGTGAGCTTACTCCACTTCCTGCGGATATTGGATGATTCCCTTCTGAAGACACTGACAGGTTGTGGAAAGAACCTCTACAAACCGATATTTGTGTGTGTTTTTGTGGAGTGGAATTCCAAGATAAAATAGATGGTGCCATACCCAATCACATGCCAAAACAACAACAAAAGAGCCTACCAGTAGATAAATACCAACCCTGCTCCAGAGCTTCCAATTATCCTTGACAATCAAAGATGCCAACGTTTGGGGGAAAGGTCCAACAACAAAGCAGGGAGGGGAAAGAATTCTAAAGGAAAGAGATAACACAAGGAACAAAAGAAAACAGCAACAAAAACCAAACCCTTCGATTAATATCCTCAGAGGAATATGAGAAAAGAAGATGCTGTATCAATAAAGCAAGATCAGGATATTATGAAAAAGGAACAGCTGGAAAACAAGGAAGAGCTTGGAAAATTAAAATAAGTCCAAAATAAGAATTCAACAGAAAGGCTGGAAGACAAGTAGAGAAAAATTTTCAGAAAATATAATAAAAAGAGAAACAAAATATAAAGAAAGTAATAAGATCCTTGAATAATAAACCCAAAAGACCTAATATCTAACTAACAAGTGTTTTCTAAAAGGAGAACAAAAAACTGACGAAAGGAAATAATCAAAGAAATAATACAAATACAAAAATCACCATAATTCCAGGACATGAATATTCAGATTAAAGGCTCCCCCCTCCCCCACCCCAAGCACATAGATGAAGGATGAATGTGGAGAAAAGAGGATCCTCGCCAAAGGACATCATCATGGCATTTCAGAACATTGGTCATAAAGAGAAGAAAATAACAGGCCACCTACAAAGGCACATGAATCAGAATCGTGTTGGACTCTTGACAGAAACTATGAATGCTGGAAGAGAATGGAGTACGGCCATCTAAATTCTTTGGGAAAATGATTTCCGGCAGAGAATTCTGCACTGTGCCAAACAATCGATCAAGTATGGAGTATTGAATTTCCAGGCATGCAAGGAGTAAAATAATTTATCTCTCATTGGATCCTTTCTTAGGAAGCTGCTGAAGGATGTACTCCCAGAAAAGGTAAACTAAAGAAGATAATTCAATGGGACCTAAGAAATAGCATTCCAAGATAAGGGAGTGGCGCAGGGAAGTCTCATGATGATAGCTCTAGACTGCAACGAGCCTGGAACAGGGCAGGAAGACCGAGGGCTTTGGGGGTTTGGAAGTAAAACTGAGAAGCTAATCTGATTAGGTCCACCAAACCTAACCTGCCCTGCTTGCTTTTGGTTGCTTGCTTTCTTTCGTCCCCATATAGCTAAAAGCCACGCCACTAAACTCCTGGCTTCCTTACGGAGAACATTTCTGATGTACACGTCACCATGGTAATGGCTGCTTGTTTTTCAGGAACTTGGGGCAGCTCCTATCCAGTTCAAACTGGTTGAGACCACTGATCCTTCAGCTGATCCTGTGCAAGTGCCTGAGAGGTGGCCTTTTGATGTCAGAAAGCCAAAAACTCTACCCTTAGAACATGCTAATGCTACCATTTTCTGAACATGCATCTTGTGAAGAGCCATGAACCCTGACTATGCTTGCACAGATCACTAGTGACTTTATTTTTCCCCATTGCCAATCACCTTTCCTCTTGCCTTAGACCACCCTGCTTCTCTAACCCATAAATATCCCTAAGTCTTATCTTCAGGCAGGCTTTGAGAGCTGTTCTCCCACCTCCTTATTGGGCTGCCCTGTGAATAAATGTTTTATCTGCCCTGTGAATAAATCTTTTGTAAGACCCATCATCACAGTAACTGGTTTACTAAGCACAAACAGAATGAACTTGGTGGGTATCAGAAGGGTGGCACAGGGAGAGAATGGAATTGATAGATTGTTACGCTTAGTACTATTTGATTTTTAACAACCATTTACATATGCTTCTTTTGCTAAAAATTAAGTAATTGAAAGTAATAGAAAACAAAAACAAAACAAAATGATACTGGAAACAAACAGACCATTCTTCAGGCTCCTTTAGTGTTTGGAATTTGCTTCTATCCATAGCAAAAGGAGGGCAGTACAAATTGGCCACGGTTGAGAACCCACCTACAATTCATCTGAGCCCTGCTGCAACTACACTCTCAACTGTGTAAGGTGCCAGTGATAGCCCCTCAGAACCAATAGCACTAATTCAAAGGGGGGTAGCTAAGTGACAAACAGGTGAAGGGACAGGTGCCCAGAGAAACATTTGTAAAAATTAACATCTTCAGACTGGGAAGACGAAGACTAAGAAAAGTTCAGACTCTAACAACTCACGAAGCATATGGCTCACAGTAACACACATGCGTTCACTGAATCCTAGAATAGTAGGGTGAGGGAGTGAGCCCTGAACGTGTTATGTGTTTTACAAAGAGGAAAGTAACATAAGAGGTTGTTATATAAGATGAAAATGTAAGTTATGTACATCTATTTTTAAGATACGATATGCTTCAGAGGTCCACATCAAAGACAACCCCTGTGGTCTTGGATAATATGGTCGAGTCAGTTAGAGACAGAATTCCCATGTCGTGACCTTGTCTTTGCATTAGAAACAGGGGCTGGGTCTCCCCCAGTTGAAGTTATTTATTAGGAGTTATAGATCAAGACACTTCCTCCCACACTGTATTTAAGAACTGATCATCAACAACGTCTCAATTTCTCGGGGACTTTACTATGTGCAAAGAGTTTTATAAACATAATCTCTTTAAATCCCTATACAAACATTTGAGGCAGGTATCCTCACTTTATCGATGAGGGAATTGGGCTACAGATGGGTCACAGAATTAACCCAAAGTCACAATACTGGCAGATGCCAGCACTATGACCAAGGTTGGTCATCCTACAAAACATGTGTATGTTTATGTGCATCTCTCCTGATCCTCCAGGACTTCAGCACCATGACCAAGCAACTTACCAATATGACCAGCCATAGTCCCAGGTCTGAGGCTTCCAATCTTCTGGTCCAAGGTTCACAGTGATTTGAAAAATGGTTGTGTACATCATGTGGGCCACCATGCCTAGAAGCCCTGCGCAAGGAAAGCTCTGTGAGTCACAGCTAAGAAGACACATGATGGAAGAACTCTACGCGGTGTGAGTTGGCTGTAAGGAGCTCTCTAGCATTCATAAAGTCCTTTTGATGTATCTGCATGTATTCATCCTTAAACATTCCGCTGGACATCTCTTTCCCACAATTGAAACTGAAGAGACATCCGGAAAGACACAATCGGGGAGGACCTGTCAGAACCTGGGTAGGAGTCTCCATGGCCTGGTTCCTTCCTAAGAAGATCAGAAATTGGATTTTATCATCCCATTCGCTGAGGATAAGACTTGAGGGAGGTAGGCATGGTGGCATGCACCTGTAATCCCAGGTACTCGGGAGGCTGAGGAGGGAGGATTGCTTAAGCTCAGGGGTTTGAGACCACTCTGGGGGGACCTCTGATTGAGAGGTTCCAAATAAATAAATAAGTCCCAAAATAAGTAAAATAAAATAATTAAAAGGGACTTTAAAAAAAGGACTTAGGAAAGATGCATTACACTTATCAAGCACAACAATGATGTACAAATTGGCCTGCTACATGATGAACTTAACATGAGTAACTTTTCATATCCAGTTTGAGGACTAAAGGAAGTCATTTGTTCAGGGTTCTTTCTCCCTGGAAAGGCCCACTTAGGAGACCCGATTAAGTGGCTTTAAAAGTTGCTTGGAGAACACAGAAGTAGATCTAAAAAAAAGGAGTTCTTTATTTTTATGGAATATTTGTACCAAATGTTGATACTTTTTTTAAAACTACCATGTATTACTTCTTCTATACTAGGTGCACTCTTATTTAGTCATCGCCAAAGTGTCTTGAGATACATTATAGTGTTCTGTCTTAGAGAAGTAACTTGCCTGAGGTCATACACCCATTAAGGAGACGTCTGCAACTGAGCAGGATCCCTCCACAGACTCATGCCTAAGTACTGCTTTCAGTGAAGTGATGTCAGCTGTCAGAGCCAGGGCACCCTCTTCCCTGGTTGTGACAAACGGATAAATTTCACTTTCTATCTGTGCCTAGCCCCTTTTCATCTGTCACCCTAAAAATATTGTCTCCAGCCAATGGAATTCATTGGTGACTTATCCAGGGGACCACCCGCCCTGCTTAAATGGCCATTGATGGGAAAGAGCCAGCCTGTTCTTTGGTAATGAGCATGTCCAGTCTGACACTCTGCTTTCCCTCTGGGGCAGCCTGTTCCAAGGATGCTGTTGGAAAGTACCTGCCAGCACCATGAAGATGGCTACCAAGGCATCCACCCTGAGCCAGTGGAACCCAGGGCTGCGACAACTCACTCTGGAGCCCAGGAGGATGGCGCTTGTCAGTATCAGAACGATATCCAGGACCTCGCCCCCGATGGACAGCCACAAAACACCTGCCAAAGAACGGGATGTTGGAAACGCTGGACACTTCTAATTCAGAAATACTAAAATGTTCAATCCTTTGATTTAGTTCACTTCTAAACAAAACATGAAAAACAGACACGCTGGAGTGAAAATCACAGATGCCTCTGCTGAATCTTAGCTGGCAATGGAAAGGCACTCCTCAGGGCTGAAAGAGACGGTTGTAGGGATTGCCCGTAGCTGAACGGGCGGTGGGGTGGGGGCGGGGAAACTAAGCAAAACCCTGCTGTGAGGATATGAGTGGTGCTGGGGGTCTCCATGCCCTAGCTCAAAAACTACCATTGTGTCTGGAGTTGGTTCCTGCCGGTGGGTTCATGGTCTGGCTGACTTCAAGAACGAAGCCACAGACCTTCGCAGTGAGTGTTACAGCTCTTAAAGGTGGCACAGACCCAAAGAGTGAGCGGTAGCAAGGTTTATTGTGAAGAGTGAAAGGACGAACACTCCAAACCATAGAAGGGTACCTGAGAGGGTGGCTGTGGCGGGCTGGGGTGGCCAGCTTTTATCCCCTTATTGGCCCCTCCCATGTTCTGTTTCTGTCCTATCAGAGTGCCCTTTTTCCAGTCCTCCCCGCTATTGGCTACTTTTAGAATTCTGCTGATTGGTGCATTTTACAGAGTGCTGATTGGTGCGTTTTACAGAGCGCTGATTGGTGCGCTTTACAGAGTGCTGATTGGTATGTTTTACAAACCTCTTTAAGACAGAAAAGTTCCTGATTGGTGCGTTTTACAAACCTCTTGTAAGACAGAAAAGTTCCCCAACTCCCCACTTGACCCAGGAAGTCTGGCTAGCCTCACCTCTCACCATGATGTTTTGATTTTACCAGAAGATATCATCTTTGCCTTTTGCAAGAAAAAGTTACACAAACATGGGGGTGGAGGGTCTGTGAGTTGGAGAGTCCTGTCTGCAGGTACCAAAACCTCATTTGTTTCTGTGGAAGCCACTTGTTTACTTCCTGGAGAGGATCCCACCTGTGGCTTCAAGGAACTCTGTTGCCAGTGGAGAGCAATGGAGAAAAGGGACAGAAAAGGAAATTCATCTTTGCGAAAGGACTCCTCTAAGGCAAGTTAGGTAACGGAGACACAGCAATGAATAGACGTGATCCATGCCTTCACAAAACCTCTACTCCAGCTGGGAGAACAGACACTAAGAAAGTAATTACAAAGATACTGAGTGTTAGGGAGCTTTAGAGAGAAGAAAAAACTGCTCTAGGCAGTGGTGTGCTGAAGCTTATCTCAGAGCTCTGTGTTCATCTTGCAACTGAGAGCTGCATTCATCTTGCAATTGAAATTGGCTATGGTGGGAATATTTACACCATGGAACACGGCCAGTGCTGCCAATCAGGGCTTCCCATCCACCCTACAAAGTTGGCTGTTAAACATTTGCCAGCACACCACTGGCTATAGGGCACAGGAAGAGAGCCTGTGGTTCTAGCTTTTGGGCTGGACTTCATGGAAAAATCATCAATGACTCCCTCATCATTTCCCCTATTCCCAATAAAACTATAAAAATAGTCCAAGCTATGAGGAGTGCTAGTGGGCAGAGTGTGAGTAAGGTATTTACCTTGTTCTTCAGCTGGCACTACACTCCGGAAACTCCTACACTTTTCATCTGAAAGATAAAGAGAATGCATCCAGAAGTGGGTTACACTTCACAACCAGGGGGCAAATGGTGAATTTCTAGCCCCTTAACTGGATGAGGAATGGGGAGTGTGCAGACTGCTTTACTGCTCAGGGACATGAGCTGCTCCTCTGTGTGGGAGCCTGATATAATCCACCCTATTGGACTCTGGCTTGGCCACGTAACACTCTTTGACCAATGAACTGGGAGCAAAAATGAGGTGGATCTGAGCAGCTTTAAGAGCCAGTGTCTTTTCCCTTGGTTCCTGTTCCCTTGCTCTGTAATCCCAGAGGCCCATATCAAGAGGAAGTCTCCATCAGCCTGGGTCCCTGAATAGCTACAATGAGGACAGACCCCTTGCCAACCTGAAAAGTCTATACAGAATGAGCTAAAAATAAATGTGTTGGTTTAAAGCACTGGAATTTGGGGGGTTGTTTGTTATTGCAGCCTAACCTATCCTATCTGGACTAATACTGCAAGTCTTAGACCAGGGATTCTCAGCTTTGGAAATAGCATTCATTATGGTATGAATCTAAAATAATTGGCTTCTTGTTGAAGGGAAATGATCAAAGTTCGCAATTTATTTTTAAATGAGTGAGAGCAGATTCAGAGCCATGTCTGTTACTAAGACTCAGCAGGTGAGTCACGCATTCGCTTGCATTCCATCATGATTTCTTGACTATGAAAGGAAGGAATCGTTGTGTGTGTACCAGGTATTGGGCAGAAGCCGCCACCAGACTCATTTATGTGCTCCAGGGGGATAGATACTCTTTGTATGTGAGTGTCATCTGTCAGGTTGCACACATCAGGTGAAAAATCTTGAGCCACAGCCTTACATATGCAGTTCCCTTTAAAATTCTAAGTCCATGGATATCCACTTGGTGTGAAGATGTAACCAAATTCTGGTTTAGGGGGTGACAGATGGAGGATTGAGACCATGGCAAGTCACTCTCTGGGGTCCTGTCCCAGCTGAGTGTCCTGCACTCTCTCTACTAACACGTCAGCCCAAAATAGAATCATAGACTGTCGAGTGGGAGGAGCCTGGGAAATCATCTGGTTCATCCCCACGCAGTTTACAGGAGTGCGTTCAAGGGCCTCTGAGGGAAAGTGACTTGCTCAAGACAGCGTAGGTAGAGGCAGTTTCCGTGTTAGAGCTCAGGGCTGCAGAGCCCGGGCCCAGCGCTGTCCCGCTACATCACTGACTTAATGCAATCAAGGAAAGGTGCCGGGGGTGCAAAGATGCCTGAGACAAGGGAGCCGCCCCCAGTCTGATCCTGGTGGGAGCTGAAGCAGAGCATGTTTTTTTCCCATTGACTCTTCAAAGGAATGGCATTCTTATCACCAACCAATAGTCACTTATCACTTATCACTTATCACTTATCCAATAGTCCCCACCTTAGCCTTGCTTTGAAGATTACATGAAACAATACTTACGAAACTTCTATCACAGTTCATACGCATTTAAATCTTATTAGACTATAATGAGTTCTATTAGAGCATTTTTGCAGTGGTTAGCATGAACTATTATTTATTTCCAGACTCTAAGCAACCCCAAGGGCAAGGTTCATGCCAGCTACCATTGCTGGAAGATTCCAGGAACAGAGGGAGTTTAGGGAGCATCTGTAGACTTCAAGAATTTTTTTTTCTTTTATAGGAGAGAAAACCCCAAGTAATTTAATTTTCCTATTCAAGAACTCTCTATGGCTCCCTATTTCCCCTAGCATCAAGTCTAAATTCCTCCTGTTAGCTTTTATGTCCTCTCTCCATCACCCTGACTTCCCAACACACAGCCCATCTTTTTGCCTCCCCAGCACCACCCAGCATTCACCTTCCACCTCCCCAGGGTCCCATACTATCTTAGTCCTGTAACAAATTACCATAGATGGGGTGGTTTATCAACAACAGGAACAGCTTTTCAGATCTGGAGACTGGAAGTCTGAGATGCCTGCATGGTGGGGTTCTGGTGAGGGCCCTCTTCCAGGTGCAGAGAGCTTCTTTCATTTTTTTTATTTTTTGAGACAGGGTCTTGCTCTGTCACCCAGGCTGGAGTGCAGTGGATCATGGCTCACTGCAGCCAAAATCTCCTGGGCTCAAGTGATCCTCCCATCTCAACTTCCCAAGTAGCTGGGACTAGAGGCGCACGCCACCACACCTGGCTAACTTTTTTATTTTTTGGTGGAGGTGGAGTCTCACTATAACTCCTGGGCTCAAGCAATCTGCCCACCTCAGCCTCCCAAAGTGTTAGGATAACAGGCATGGGCCACCATACCTGGCCAGCAGACAGCTTTTTGTAGTAACCTCGCACGGCAGAAAGAGATCTGGCTTGCTCTCTAGCCTCTTCTTATAAAGGCACTAATTCCATACGTGAGGGCTCCACCCTCATGACCTAATCACCACGCAAAGGCCCCCACCTCCTAATACCATTACATTGGGGTTAGGGTTTCAGCATATGAACCTGGGGAGGGGACACAAATATCCAGTCACAGCACATGGGAAGGATGATATGTGTGCAAGCATACGCTTCTGGCAGTGCATGTCTAATCCTTATAAACCTTAAGATTTGCCATGCCCATGCTCGTGAATTTCCAAGTGCCCGTAGGCCTCATTCCTTCACACTTCTGCATCACCCCTCTGCTGAGCTATAGGGAGAAGAGAAACTCAGGTTGGGGTGATGATGTAACCATTTCCTGGAGCTTCTCCACTGGGATGTTTTCTGACTCGAATGCGCAGCCAGGGATTCGTGCGTCACATGACTGTCCATCTCAGAGGGCCCGAAGGAGAATATTTACACAGCCTGGGGCTGAGGGCAACAGGATCAGGGACCTGTCAGTCCATGGGCAGCCACAGCGGCCTCTGCAGCATTTCAATTAAGTCACTTTGGATTAATGTGATTGGACACTTCTCCTGATGTCAGCAGCAGTATCACGGTCACAGAGGAAACAATTCATCTGAGCCTCGCCGGTTCTCCCAAGGATGTCCCCAAAGCACTGGAAACACCTCAGTCCTCACACCCTGCTCTCTCTCGGAGAACTCGGGGGCTGATGCAGAGCCTTCTCTCACGTCGCCTCATCCGATCCCAACCATACCCTGGCGAGTCAGGCCAGCATGTTGGCAGCAGATGGATACCATGGGCAATGTGTGGCATTTACATCCACAACGCCTGGCATCTCTGCCTGTTTCTGCCACGGTCAGTCACCATCGCAAGTTTCCTGGCCTCTCTGAGCCTCACTTTCCTCATCTGCAAAATGGGTCTAATGAAAGGTCTCCAGTGAGAAAGTTGTGAAAGTATTTTGTGAACTGCATTCCACAGTTTTTTCTGTTTTTTTTGACGGAGGCTCGCTCTGTCGCCAGGGCTGGTGTGCAATGGCATGATCTTGGCTC
Source organism: Homo sapiens (assembly GCF_000001405.40). Classification (NCBI taxonomy): domain Eukaryota; kingdom Metazoa; phylum Chordata; class Mammalia; order Primates; family Hominidae; genus Homo; species Homo sapiens. Next base: position 9,814,009 of record NC_000017.11, read on the forward strand.
ACTGCAACCTCTGCCTCCCGGGTTCAAGCGATTCTCCTGCCTCAGCCTCCCAAGTAGCTGGGATTACAGGCACCCGCCACTATGCCCAGCTAATTTTTTGTATTTTTAGTAGAGACAGGGTTTCACCATGTTGGCCAGGCTGATCTCAAACTCCTGACCTCGTGATCCGTCCGCCTCGGCCTCCCGAAGTGCTGGGATTACAAGCGTGAGACACCGCGCCTGGCCTTTCCACTGTTTTGAGTGTTGAGTTATTAATAAAGACAAGTACAATGATCTCAATTTTATGGACCTGGAGGAGACCAGGCTCATATGAATTGGTAGAGTCAAGAATTAAAAACCAGAGTTTCTCACCTAAGACTCAGAGGCCTTTTCTGAATCGCTTCTTGTCTTTCTACCTAATGCACGGAGAAGTGAAGGTCTAACTTGTCTTCTAAAGAGAACTGCCTTTCCCACCAGGAATAGAGACGAGGCCAGCACAGAGCCAGGGCTGGGCAAAGAGAAGGTGGAGGCCAGCCAAGGAGATTAAGAGAATTCAGAATAGCTTAGACGGGTGAGTTCAGCTTGGGCCCAGAGTCAGAGCCTAGTGACCCCTTTGATGAATATGAATCCTTAGAAATGGTGTTCGTTTTGAATAAAGCCAGAAGGATTAAAAGAAAAAATCTTTATAAATCCCATGAAGCCAGGGAGGCGGGTGTTACATAGCGTGTGTGCTTCAGCAGCCAAGCAGGACAGCAAGCCAGCCCGAGGAAGTGGCGTCCGATCCCTCCGTACCTGACTCTGACATCCTCTGTCATTTTGTTCTCCGCCGGCCCCCACTCCGCCCCTATCCTTTATGGGGTGCCTGTGTCCCTCTGTCCTGAACTTTTTGAGTTTAGCAGAACAGCATAGAATCTAAAATCCACACATTTTGTGGATTCACAAACTCACCTAAGGAAAAGAACATTTCGCGTAAGTGCTGCCTGGGCCAGGAACTGTCATTTCAGATTGTGGGATCAAAGATGTGGGTTCCCTTTAAAGACATCCTAGGCACTGGGGAGAAAGGGTAGAGTTCTTGGAGGTGGCTTGGGCAGAGGATGTCTTAAAATAGCACTTCAGGTGGCTGGGTGCGGTGGCTCACGCCTGTAATCCCAGCATTTTGGGAGGCCGAGGCGGGCGGATCACGAAGTCAGGAGATGGAGACCATACTTGGCCAACATGGTGAGACCCTGTCTCTACTAAAAATACAGAAAAAAATAGCTGGGTGTGGTGGCATGCGCCTGTAATCCCAACTACTCAGGAGGCTGAGGCAGGAGAATCGCTTGAACCCCGGAGGCAGGGGTTGCAGTGAGGCAAGATTCCATGGGTATGGGTCACTTACATCTCTGGAACTCAGTCTTCTCGTCTGTAAAATGTCTCTATTGTTCTAGGTCAGCCTTTCCCAAAGCACGTTCCACCAAACAATAGTCTTATAGAATATTAATCCTTATTAAAAAAATCTCTTCTATGCTCCATAAATTTGGGGGAAACACTGGAATATGTAATGTTAAACAAATTCCTGTATCGGGGGACTTCTCAGAGATTTTGATGTGCTAATGTGCGTTGTGAATTTTTAAGAAGAAAATGTAACATATTACGGAATCTTTTCCAGTTTGTTGGACTTCAAGATACTTTTTCTTTACTTTTACAAAGAGCATCTCAAAAGGCATCTCTGAGGAGTAATATTTGAGGACATCCAGTGAGGTACTTATTAAGAGCTCTTTCTGTCCTGATACAAGAATATAGTTGCATAGAAGTCAGACAGAGGTTGCTATGGTTTGAATGTCCCCTCCCAAACTCATGTTGAAATTTAATCCCTAGTGAGGCAGAATTGAGAGGTGGGAGCTTTAAGAGATGCTCGAGTCATGAAGGCTGTGCTCTCGTGAATGGATTAATCCATTCATGAATTAATGGGTTCTCGTGGGGAGTTGGACTAGTGGTTTTGTAGGAAGAGGAGGACAGGGCCGAGCTAGAATGTTAGCACGCTCAGCACCCTCAGCCATGGGCTGCCCTGCACCTCCCTGGGGCTCTGTGAAGAGTCCTCCCCAGCAAGAAGCCTCTCACCAGATGTGCTCCCTCGACCGTGGATTTCCCAGCCTCCGTAATGGTAAGTAATACGGTTCTTTTCTTTATAAATTACCTAGTTTCTGGTATTCTGTTTTAAGCAACAGAGAATGGACAACGACAGAAGTCAAGAAATACATCCTTTATTTCTCCTTGCTGTTGTCCATGAATCATGGAGAACACTAACTCTCTTTATATTCAGTGTGTGCTCCTGACAGTATGGGAAAAACCCTTCCGTGGTGTGATCCAGAAAAATGTGCACGTGCACGCGTATGCGTGTGTCTGTGTGTGTGCGTGTGTGTCTGTGTCTGTGTGTGTGTGTGTGTGTCTGTGTGTGTGCGTGTGTCTCTCTGTGTGCGTGTGTCTGTGTGTGCGTCCGTGTGCGTGTCTGTGTGTGTGCATGTGTCTGTGTGTGCCTGTCTGTGTGTGCGTGTCTGTGTCTCTGTGTGCACGTGCGTGTGTCTGTGTGTGCATGCATATCTGTGTCTGTGTGTGCACGTGCGTGTCTGTGTGTCTGTGTGTGTCTGTGTGTCTGTTTTGCATGTCTGTGTGCGTGTCTGTGTGTGTCTGTGTGTGCGTGTGTGTCTGTGTGTGTGTGTCTGTGTATGTGTGCATGCGTGTCTGTGTGTATCTGTGTCTGTGTGTGCATGTGTGTATCTGTGTGTGTATCTGTGTCTGTGTGTGCGTGTGTGTCTGTGTGTGCGTATCTGTGTATGTGTGTCTGTTGTATCTGTGTGTGTCTGTGTATCTGTGTGTGTTTCTGTGTATCTGTATGTGTGTGTCTGTGTGTGTATCTGTGTGTGTGTATCTGTGTGTGTGTATCTGTGTGTGTGTGTGTGTGTGTGTGTGTGTGTAGTAAACACTCTGTGGGTTTGCAGAAGTGCCAAGGGGACTTCCTCTAGAGGAAGGAACCTGAAAGAGCCTCACACATCTCTCACTCCCGCTTTCAGCTCGTTTTAGGCTGAGAAGATGCCACCACCACCACCACACACACGCTGAGTTACACACACACATACACACGCGAACTGAGTGACAATTTTTTATCAGAAATCTTGGGGACATTTTTACCATCTACCTGTGTAGTGTTTGTGTGACTACGGCTCATGCCATATGCAGGTAGCCAGGTTGCAGCTGCTCCCACCCCTGCCGGAATATCCAGTTCCACACTTTCCTCAAGCCCAGCCCATGCGGATTTTTCCTGCCAGCTGCCTGGTTACTGATGAAGCAGCTCCCTCCCATTGGTCTAATTTTCCAACTCTGTCTTCAAGTTCAGGTTCTACTCTGGCCCTAGCTCCTCCTGACATCATGACTAGCAAGCTTCCAGTTCTCTCCAACGAGGCTTTTTTTTTTTTTTTTCCTCGAAGTCTCACTCTGTCGCCCAGGCTGGAGTACAGTGGTGCGATCTTGGATCACTGCAACCCCCGCCTCCCAGGTTCAAGCGATTCTGCTGCCTCAGCCTCCTGAGTAGCTGGAATTACAGGCACCCACCACCACACCCGGCTAATTTTTGTATTTTTAGTAGACATGGGGTTTCACCATGTTGGCCAGGCCGGTCTTGAACTCCCGACCTCAAGTGATCTGCCCTCCTTAGCCTCACAAAGTGCTGAGATTACAGATGTGAGCCACCATACCTGGCCCAATGAGGCCTTTTCTGTTTAGGAAATGTCTGCTCAGTTCCTCCTGCTTGGGTGACAGAGACCTTATGTTGCAGGGAAGGAGAAGCTGTCTCAGGTGACATGGAAAAGCCATGTGAGCCAAGTTCTTCTGTAAGAACTTAAGGATTCCTTCTCTCCCCTGCCTTGCATTCTGATGCAAATACCTGGGTTATGCTGCCTCAGACATTGGCTCACTCAGTTCTGCCTGCCTGGAACGTTCTCATCCCCAATCTCCATCTATTAAAATCATAGCCTTATGGGCCTGGCACAGTGGCCACCTCCTTTATGAGGTCCTCCCTATGCCTAGAGCTATAAATAACCTCTCCTTCTGTGTAACTCAGTTCTTGCATTGCTATAAAGGAATACCTGAGGCTGGGTAGTTTATAAAGAAAAAACTTTTAATTGGCTCACGGTTCTGCTGGCTGTTCGGGAAGCATAGCACTGGCATCTGCTCAGCTTCTGGTGAGGCCTGGGGAAACTTCCAATCATAGCAGAGGGCAGAGGGGGAATCTGCCAATCACACAGTGGGAGTGGGAGCAAGAGAGAGAAGGGGGAAGGTGGCACACACTTTTCTTGTTTTAGTTTTAGTTTTGTTTTGTTTTGTTTTTGAGATGGAGTTTCGCTCTTGTTGCCCAAGCTGGAGTGTAATGGTGCGATCTCGGCTCACTGCAACCTCCGCCTCCTGGGTTCTAGCGATTCTCCTGCCTCAGCCTTCCAAGTAGCTGGGATTACAGGTGCACACCACCACACACAGCTAAATTTTTTTTTTTTTTTTTTTTTTTTTTTGTATTTTAGTAGAGACAGGGTTTCACTGGGTTGGCCAGGCTGGTCTCGAACTCCTGACCTCAGGCAATCCACCCACCTTGGCCTCCCAAAGTGCTGGGATTACAGGTGTGAGCCACCACGCCCTTTCCAACGACCAGATCCCGTGAGAAATCATTCACTATTGCAAGGACAGCACCAAAAGAACAGGGCTAAACTATTCGTGGTAAATCCACCTCCACAATCCAATCACCTCCCACCAGCCTCCACCTCTAACAAAGGCGGATGACTTTTTATCCAAACTCTATCACCCCCGTTTCCATTTCCACATCATAGGTGCATCCTTGTTATAACCATTATCATATTTGTCCTTGTTCGTTTGTACCTTAGGTGGGTCTCTTCCACTGGATCCTTGCTCTCAGCACTGGGGCTTACTCACCTTTCTCTCCTCCCATCCTCCTGGCCCTGTGCCTGACAAGGAAATGACTGTCAGTGAATTCACTCTGCACTGTGCTGACTCCCTTCTTTCCAGAGGTCTTTGATGTACACTGAGGTGGGCTCCTCAGACTCTAGCGTCTGTCATAATCACCAGGGGGGCTTATTAGAAACATGAGTAACACCAGATAAAATAGGATTGAGTGGAATAAAACACCAGTGCCATAAGGATCAGAAACGAAGAGGCAATGGGCAACTCCAGAAAAAGCAAAAAGCTGAACACAGCAATAAACATCACCACAGCACCTACTTTGATGCTATAATGAACAATATTGATAGAGTCAAAATATATTATTGGCTTACTGATTTCAACAAAGCAGCGATATAACTTTATTAGGAAGATGACAGAGGGTATGTGGGATGTTGTGGTATGAGAGAGTTAAATCCTATTTATTATAACAGGAAGTTAATAGGTAATGTCTAAGATGAAGCCATGGCTATGTAACCATAGTTTTTGAAAACACGGAAGAAAATACTAGAAGAAACACTTAAGTTAACTGTGGTTTCTCCTGAAGTGTGGGACTAAGTTATGGAGAAGAAAGGGGCAAGGGAGTGTTGATTTTTCATAGTAGCTTTTCAAAATGAGTTCATCTCTTGTCTATGAGTAAATATCACCTTGGTTAAAACTTTTTTTTGTTTGCTTGTTTTTTGAGACAGAGTTTTGCTCTTGTTGCCCAGGCTGGAGTGCAATGGTACCATCTCGGCTCACTGCAACCTCTGCCTCCTGGGATCAGGCGATTCTCCTGCCTCAGCCTCCCTAGTAGCTGGGATTACAGGCACACATCACCACGCCCAGCTATTTTTTTGTATTTTTAGTAGAGATGGTATTTCACCAACTCCTGACCTCAGGTGATCTGCCCGCCTCAGCCTTCCAAAATGCTGGGATTACAGGTGTGAGCCACCACGCCTGGCCTGTATTCTTTTTCTTTAAAAAAAAATTTTGGCCAGGCACAGTGGCTCATGCCTGTAATCCCAGCTTCTGGGGAAGCTGAGGCAGGATAATCACTTAAAACCCAGGAGGTGGAAGTTGCAGTGAGCTGAGATTGCGCCGTTGCAATCCAGCCTGGGCAACGAGAGGGAAATTCCATCTCAAAATAAAAAATAAAATAAAATAAAATAAAATAAGAATACAGACCTCTAGACTCCACCCCGGCTCTCTTAAATTAGAACCTCCAGGACTGGGCACCTGGATATTTCTTTTACAAGTTCCTTGGGTGATACATTTGATAACTGGTGTGACGCCTATATAGAGCTGTGGAAACAGAAGTACTATAGGCAGTCCTCATATGAGAACTTGGAAAGGAGATGGAATTTCCCAAGTGATTTGCCTATAAGTATGGTGAATACAGTTTCCAAACCAAAATTCTGGAAGTGTTTTGGAAATCCTCCAGGATGCAGGGTCCTGAGACTTTTGCCTCTGTCCATGAAGGTGGGGAAGAGACTCATAGGAAGATAGCACTCCCTGAGAAGCGAGGAACTGTGGAGGTCCTAAATAGCCTTAGCTCCAGGCACTATTGCAGTGTCTGTACCACACTTAAAGCACAAGACACAGGCACTGGCCTGGATACATGGGAGGTTCAGTCAGGCTGGGTACTGCCCCACATTGGCCACCACTGGGAGAGAGGGTGGAAGGGAGGGACATACAGCACCTCTGAGTGTTCCTTTTTTTTTTTTTTTAATTTGAGACAGGTCTCGCTCTATCATTCAGGCTGGAGGGCAGTCACACGATGATGACTCACTGCAGCCTCAACCTCCCAGGCTCAAGTGATCCTCCCAGAGTAGCTGGGACCACAGGCACACCCCACCATGTCCAGCTAATTTTTTAAAAAAACCTTTTGTAAAGAGAGGTCTCACTATGTTGCCTATGTTGCCAGGCTGGTCTGTAACTCCTGGTCTCAAGTGATTCTCCTGTCTCAGCTTCCCAAAGTGCTAGGATTATAGGAATGAGCCACCAGGCTGGGCCTCAGGGGCTTCATTCTTGTTGCCTTTTACTTAGGCCTCAGGAACAAAAATCAAATGCTATGAGAATGGAAAAAGAAAAGGCAATTAGAAACTCCAGAAAAAGTTAAAAAACTGTGCAAGAAATTGACTGTAATAAGCTGAGGTCAGGAAAGAAATGGGGATGGGAGGATTCCTCCTTTTTCTGCCTTGGAGGTTTTGCGTCCCAAGCAGAAAGGGAAGAGTACTCTGTCCCTGAACGCGGGCTTACAGCCAGGCTGCCAAATATGGAAGAGTCAAATTCCTCCCTCCTCAATTCTTTGAGAGGTAAAAACACTTCTGTTTTTAAAGATTCACTCCAAGATCATTCCAAGTGCAGGATAAATAACAGGGATGCACCTTCGAGTTGGGTCGGGACCACCTTTCATTCCCAAAGGATTTTAAATACCAGGGATTCAGTGACAAGAACAAACGAGAAACTAATTTTAATAAACACTTGCAATGTGTCAGGCCCTGTTGCAAGCTCTGTATGTGAATCTGGTCATTTCATCTTTACAATCACTCTTGGAGGTAAGTACTGCTATCATTCCCATTTTACAGATGAGAAAACTGAGGCTCAGAGAGGTGAAGGGACTTATTCAAGGATACCTAGACAATCAGTGGAGATGAAGGATTCAAACCCAGACAGCCTGGCTCCAGAGCCCCTGCATCATCCCGCACCTGTTACCCCCAGAATCTGCAGGATTCAAACCCAGACAGCCTGGCTCCAGAGCCCCTGCCCCATCCCGCACCTGTCTTCCCCAGAATCTACAGGCTTTGCTCACCTTCACCGTTGAGGCTCTCCTCGCAGGACTGCCAGAGCCCCACATGGAACCCCCGCTGAATGAACTTGTCATCACCCAGCTCCCAAATGTACAGGACAGCCTGGCTATTGTTGTCCATCCTGCCATTGCTGCTGTTGTCCCGTTTGAAGTGAATGCAGTGCTGCCCTCCCGGCTGGTCCTGGCACAGTGGCTTCACCACCCGTCGGGTCCCCTCACACCAGTGGCTGCTGACCACGGCGGTGAGGGAGAAGGTGAGGGCGAGGCAGACAGGGAGGAGGAGCAGCGCCTGCTGCTGCTTGGCCCTGTCCATGGCTGAGTGAGGTGCGTGGGGCAGGATGAGCTGTGGGGCCCCCTCCTCCTGCCTCGTCACGGTACCTGCCCCTCAGCTCTGCCATCTGGCATCCTCACACAGCCTCCTCTCACGTCCCCCTGGAGAATTGCACGTGCTGCCACACCAGATCCAGAGGCACAGAGCCGGGGCACGTTCCTGTCAAGGGTGCTGGCCCTGCCATTCTCCCCAGGAGGTAGGTGTGCGGGAGGGCATTGTTTTTTTTTGTTTGTTTGTTTGTTTGTTTTTTTGAGATGGAGTTTCTCTCTTGTTGCCCAAGCTGGAGTGCAGTGGCATGATCTTGGCTCACCTCAACCTCTGCCTCCCGGGTTCAAGTGATTCCACTGCCTCAGCCTCCTAAGTAGCTGGGACCACAGGTGCATGCCACCATGCTGGGATAATTTTTTGTATTTTAGTGGAGAGGAGGTTTCACCATGATGCCCAGGATGGTCTCGATCTCCTGACCTCGTGATCCACCTGTCTCGGCCTCCCAAAGTGCTGGGATTACAGGCGTGAGCCACCGTGCCCAGCCAGAGGGCATTGTTTTTAAATTGTGGTAAAACACACATAACATGAAATTAACCATCTCAACCTTTTTTTTTTCTTTTTTTGAGACAGAGTTTCACTCTGTCACCCAGGCTGGAGTGCAGTGGCACCGTCTTGGCTCACTGCAACCTCCACTTCCTGGGTTCAAGTGATTCTCCTACCTCAGCCTCCCAAGTAGTTGGGATTACAGGTGCCCGCCACCATGCCCGGCTAAGTTTTGTATTTTTAGTAGAGACGGGGTTTCACCATGTTGGCCAGGCTGTTCTCAAACTCCTGACCCCAGGTGATCCACCTGCCTCGGCCTCCCAGAGTGTGGGATTACCGGCATGAGCCACCACACTTGGCCATCTCAATCTTTTTTTTTTTTTTTTTTTTTTTTGATATGGAGTCTCACTCTGTCGCCCAGGCTGGGGTGCAGTGGCATAATCTTGGCTCACTGCAACCTCCGCCTCCCGGGTTCAAGTGATTCTCCTGCCTCACCCTCTAGAGTAGCTGGGATTACAAGCGCACGTCACCACACCCGGCTAATTTTTGTATTTTTAGTAGAGGCGGGGTTTCACCATGTTGGTCAGGCTGGCATCTCAACCATTTTTAAGTGCAAAGTTTAGTGGCATTAACTACGCTCACAGTGTTGTGCAACCATCACCACCATCCACCTCCAGAACTCTTTTCATCTTTCATCATCTGTACCCATCACACAACTCCCATTGCCCTTCCTCCTCTGCTTGGCAGCCACCATTCTTCTCTCTGTTTCTATGAATTTGACTACTCTAGGTGCCTCCTGTAAGTGCACTCATACAGTATCCGTCCCTTTGTGACTTGCTTACTTCGCTTAGCATAATGTCCTCAAGCTTCATGCATGTTGTAGCATGTGTCAGAATGTCCTTCCTTTTTCAAGGCAGAATAATATTCCCTGTGTTTGTTGGATAGCATTTTGTTCATCTATTCAGACACCTGGGTTTTTTCCACCTTTTGGCTGTTGTGGAGGGTGCTGGTTTTGATGGAAGACCAGGGGCTGTTTGGGTGGCTGTCTTGGTGAGACAGCCTCACCATTGCCTTTTGCATGGAGCAGGTCCTTAGTGTTGGATTCCGGAATCAGGGAATCCCAAGGACTTCATAGGCCTGTTTCTTGTCCAGCTCTATGTAGAGAAGGACTACGGAAAACAGATGCTTGTTCCAGGGATGCTGGGTGATGCGAGGTACAGGCAGGCTACCTCAGGGCCAAGGTGCTGTGCAGAATGGGGAGGGCAGCATGTATCCCACTTGGCTGCAGGGTTCTGAGGCCAGGGGCCCGCAGATGCTAGAAGACAGAACCCTGGGCACCATCGCTCAGGCCCTCACTGAACGGGGCACTGGCAGGAGCAGTGATGCTGAAGATTTTTAAGGAACTCCTCGGGCAGAGGACACTGATGAAGGTGTGAGGGCAGAAGATTCTGCAGAGCATCCTGAAAACACACAGGCTCTTGATGATGTGTTAGACACCTCCTGAATACCCCCCAGACAGAATCTGGAATCTATGTGCCTGGGCTAGACAGTGATACTGGGTTAATATCACTCCATCTATACTTTGCCGCTGGCCGAGTCTGGGCACCTGTGTCCTGTGCTCTCACTGGCCTGGTGGGGTGTCCAGTCTCAAGGGAAGAGGCCTTACTAAGTTCCATCGCTAGAGGGCAACCAGCCAATGGGTGGGGAAGTCGTGTGTGGCCCCCAACTTTCATCCCTTCAGAAATAAAGGATGTTTTTGAGAAAAAGTTGCAAGAGATGAGATGGAATATTCTTGCAAAGCAGGTATTTTCTTTAAAGACAGACCATTTTCCAGCATGCAACTTGGAAGATGATCTTTAATGAGCACTCACAGAACGGAGTTGCAGCCACATTCAATGACCAAAGTCCATCCCTTGGGTACTTTCTCCCTCTGGGTCACTCCATCCTGCTCTCTGCCATCCCAGAGAGATGACCACGTCAATTCCAGAGGTGACACCACTCTGAGTCCATTTCTAGGGTCTTTGTTCTAGTTGAGCTTTTCATTGTTAAGGTCTAAAATCTTGTCACATGGAGTTTTTAAGATTTTTAGGGATGTCTATTAAGAAAAGCATGGCTGCTTTTCCCAACTGTTCAGAATTCATTCAGTTGAAAAGTTACCCAGGATGAGTTCCTATGTTTGACTTGAAGAGGGAAGGAAAAAATAACACAAAAACAAAACCAAAAACGAAGTGAAAACATGTTCTTCTTGCCTCTTGCTGACTCACTGTTCCAACCAATCAAGACATCTTCCACCTGGGCCTCCAATTTGGGAGGCTGGGAGACATTGCAGGGACGCTGGGAGCTGGCCTGGGAGAGGTGGAGTAAGAAGTTCCAAGCAGAGCCTTTGGGAGGCATGGCGATGAGCCTGCTAAGAACTCACCGGAGAGGGCAGGGGCAGGACAGGGCACCCTCCCAAGTACCTGTGCTCAAGCAACTCTGGTCAGAAGACCTGCCTATCCGGTTCTGCTGTTTACTTGCTGTGTGGCTTTGGGCAAGCCATCCAACCTCTCTGAGCCTCAATGTTTCTCAGCTGTCAAATGGAGAATTCATCGTATCCTCATGGGGTTATTGTCAGGATGTGCGAAATAGGATGGTGGGTTAAAAGACGTTGTCAATGTGAGTTGTGGGGACAGCCTACTCCTGTGCTGGTTAGTAAGTGATGTATCATCAATTCCATAAAAGGGTCTGTCAGGTGGGCTGAGCCACATGTGCTTAGAACAAGTGGGCATTCAAGATGAGTGAATGTTGCACTTTTCAACACACTGTTTTGCTATTGTGTAGGCATAACCTACGCCGCTGATTGGGTTTTTGCTTCATGGCCTGGGCTGGGAGCTGTTCTCTCCTGAGCTGAGCAACCACCTCTCCTGCAGTCTCTGCATAAACAGGACCCAGAGGAGATTTTGCCTTTGTGGTTAGCCTCAGCCCAGCCTGGACAAGCTTAATGCCTTAGAAAGAAATACCCTGCCTCAAAAAGACACCTGCCTCTAAACTGGCTCGAGCCCCATCGCCTTCTGCCAGCCATTCCTCTGTAGCTCGAACCCCAGCCTGTCTCAGCCAGCTTCGTGCATTGAGCAGAACCTTCAGGGTGGAGCCCGCTGACCGCCTTGTTCTTTCTCCTCAGCCTGTCAAGGAAGTCCCAGAAAGCACAGCTGACTTAGGGAAGGTCTGGGAAAAATCTCCCTGCTTTTGGGGGGGCAGGGGCGGGGGATGAGCCAGGGCCGAGAAGGAACTCTGAAGACTCCGTAGATTGCTCTAGACCGCCTCAGACACTCTCGGCGCAGCGTGGAGAGGATTTGTGCAAACATTTCCTCTGTGGACCAAGAGGAATGCAAGAGGAGGCTGCCTGCGGTGCATCTTGGACGGCTAGAGAGATGTACCCCTACTTGTGAAGGTGCACGAGGAAGATGAAGCTGGGATCGAGCAGGGCAGGGCCTGGGAGAGGAAGCGCGGGACTCCTGCCTGGCGTCCACGAGCTGCCCATGGGCATCCCTGCCCCCTGGGGGACCAGTCCTCTCTCCTTCCACAGGAAGTGCTCTCTCTGGGCCCCTGGGAGGCCCTTCCTCACTCTGGTCCTGCTGGTTTCCATCAAGCAAGTAAGAGCAGTTCATTATTATTATTATTATCAGTTGTATTTCCTGATTTTTTTTTAAAGAAGCAATTTAGGCCTCATGTAAGCAATTTGGAAAAGAGAAAACAGTATTAAGAAAATAATGAGCCGCCATAATCCTAGCATTCAAAGGTAATCACTGTTCATATTTTGGCATATTGTCCTCAAACCTTTTCTCTATGCATTTGTTTTTTTTTACAACAGCTGATATTAGGAAGCATAAAACATGTTGTGTCCTGGTCCCCCCAACCAGCCCCGCATCATATTATAAGCATTTCCCCACGTCAATGTGAGTTCTGCAAATAGCATTTACAATTGCTGCACATATCCTTCTGTTTGTCTTCAGTATTCTCCCAGCTTTGAGTATTTAGGTTGAGCAAATCCATTTTTCTTTTTCCTTTCCTTTCCTTTCCCTTCTGTTTCCTTTTTCCTTTCATTACAAAAATGTTGAACGCTAATTGTTTTTTTAAAATACAATTCAAAGAAGTGAAATGCAAACTACAAATCACTCTACTTCCAACAGCTGCAGATCATCCTCATTCACATTTGGGGGCTTATACTTCCAGACATTTTTCTACCATTGTTTGCATACAGTTTTTTGTTTGTTTGTTTGTTTGTTTTTTGAGATGGGGTCTCGCTCTGTCGCCCAGGCTGAAGTGCAGTGGTGAGATCTTGGCTCACTGCAACCTCTGCCTCCCGGGTTCAAGTGATTTTCCTGCCTCAGCCTCCTGAGTAGCTGGGATTACAGGTACGTGCCACCACCCGGCTAATTTTTGTATTTTAGTAGAGATGGGGTTTCACCATGTTGGCCAGGCTGGTCTTGAACTCCTGACCTCAAGTGATCTACCCGCCTCGGCCTCCCAAAGTGCTGAGATTATAGGCATGAGCCACTGTACCAGGCCTACATACAGTTTTTTTTTTTAAACAAACACAGGCACATACTATAAATATTATTTTGTAATCTGCTTTCTTCATAACAAAATACACTAATAACACAGCTGACATCACTATGGAGCACTTGCTCTGCACTGGGTTGAGTGCCAGGTGCCCCCGTTCCTCATATTTTCTCCTTCTGTGTTCTCAGCAACCCTATAGACTGAGGTTCTCTTGTTAATCCCCTTTTACAGATGAGTAAACTGAGTCTCGGAGAAGTTGAGCAACATTCGTCCATGTTAGTAAATGTAGATCCATGGTATAATATTTAAGGGCTTTAAGGGTTTATTGTAATGTCTTTAACTATCCTCTATCGTTGGGCATGCTGGTAGCTTGCTTTATTCTATCCAAGAAGATTAGACCTTCGTCCTCTTTCCAAGTTTCCATTTGGATACTGGGCTATGGGCAGTATAAAAGGATGATGGGAAGGAACCCCAGTTCCACTTGTCTGAATAACGAAAGTAGCTTAAGGAATGGCTCAGACTGGGCACGGTAGCTCACGCCTGTAACCCCAACACTTTGGGAGGCTGAGGTGGGCAGATCACAAGGTCAGGAGTTCAAGTCCGGCCTGGCCAACGTGGTGAAACCCCGTCTGTACTAAAAAATACAAAAATTATCTGGGCATGGTGGTGTGTGCCTGTAATGCCAGTTGCTCAGGAGGCTGAGGCAGGAGAATTGCTTGAACCTGGAGGTGGAGGTTGCAGTGAGCCAAGATCACGCCATTGCACTCCAGTCTGGGCAGTAGAGTGAGGATCTGTCTCAAAAAAAAAAAAAAAAAAAAGGAATGGCTGTCTTCCTCCTTCGTTCCATGGGCAGGGTGAGTCCCTGTTCATGGTCTTGGAATTCTAAACCCCTCCAATCCCCATGTAGGGCAGGCTGTGGTACCAGGTCTCATGAGGGTTCACCTCAGGCTTTCTTTGTTGCAAGCCTGGGGCTAGACAGGCAGATAACCCCTGCCAGATTTCCTACATCCAGGTTCCCCTAGAGGCTGCCTTCAGGCCCTCATGGATTGTAAATGTGAGCCCAATCAATGGTTTCATGGAATTCTTGCCATCTTGGCAGCCTCTCCCCCAGTGACCAGAACATCCTTCAGGAAGGTGGCCCTGGCCTGCCTCTGGTCCCAGGACTTCAATGTGTTAGTGGTGGGACCATTTGGTGGGAGGGTTGGTTCAGAACATTCATCCTTGCTTCCATTCTCTGGATATCTCATATCAACACTGAGTGAGTGTATCCAGCTTATCATGTAGTTTTGTTCACAAATGTGGATTGCTGACCACATGCCAAGCCCTGAGACAGCGCTCAGGATATTATCATAAAATGCTTCCTCACACATCATCTTACTTAATCCTCAACACAAGCCTCTGAGAAGAGTGTTATTACTGAGCCCCTTTTACAGATGGGCAAATTAAGCTTCAGAGGAGTTAAATGGTTGCGTTCGATGCTGTAGCTCCTGAGCACTGTAGCCGTTGTGCCTACCCGGGGTGTTTGAAGCCCTGTGTTTTTTCTTCCGGAGTGCTCTTGGGAGTTGCTGATGTATGAATATTTATGTTACAACAGCGGAATCTGCAGAGCCTCGGGCCGGCTTACCAGGCTGAGAAAGCCACACCTTGACCCTTTCAGTCTGGTATTTTTATAATCAATAACATGTCTGCTGGCAGTGTCTGCTTCCACTCTCTGCCACCCAGTCTGCGTTTTCAGAGCATTTCTGGCTGTCTGTCCTCCGGGTGTGTCTGTAATTCTGATGGCCTTACTCTTGGTTCTCCATCTTAACCCCATATTCCTTTTCTAGATGTTTATATTACAAGGCTTTGTGAAGACTTTCATGATAAATTCTGCTCATAGCCTCTTTCCCTGCATGGAATATAAATGACTGTGGTGTGTGTTCTGGCAGGAAGTCTTCAAAAATTTCACTTAATGAGAAATTCTCAGGGATAGTTTAGTTTCTAAATTCAAGCAGGGAGGTAGTGTTATCCCCACACCACTCTCTCCCACACTCGTTTAAGTTATTTAGCAGTTGCTTTGGCATCAAAAACATAAACTATCTAAGGATTTTTGAGAAGTACATTGCGGCCCTTTTATACATGGATGGCAGGAGGGTAAAATGGTGCATATTTAAAATTTTTAATTTTTTTTTTTTTTTGGTGAGGGTAGACAGTTTGGCAGTCAAAAACCTTTAAAACTATGTGCATTCTGTGACCCAGAAATTCAAATTCAAAGAATTTCTAAGAAATAAAGATGTGCTCTCAAATGTTCAACTATGAGGATTTTAATCACAGCATCATTTACGTCAGCAAACATCTTAAAACAACATAGGCATTCAACGCTAGAGGATTTAAAAACTAAATTATATCACTTTTTTTCATAGAATGTTATGTAGCTGTTAAAAGGATGCTTTACTTCATTTATTATTTATTTCTTGAAATGGAAATATATTCACAATATTGGTCTTCTAATGAAACATAAAAGGCTTTGAAACAAGATTATTCCCTTTGAAGTCACAATAAAAAAGAAAAGAAAGACAATGAATGTGTCTTTCATTCACAGAGAGAAGAATCTGGAAGTAGATGGTAATTTCTGAGTAATGAGATGATAATTTCACCTTCTCCCCTTTTTGCATAGCTGTGATTTCTATTTCATCTACAGTGAAGTGTATTCCTTCTCTAACAAAGAAAAACAGATTTATTTAAAGAGAGTCAGTATAAGGATTTTTCTTTCCTTTTCCTTAATCCCTTCTCGGCCAAGTTCGTTGCTGATGCTGGTTGCCTATGCAAGGGAAAAGGAATCAAGGTCAAGCTGGACTTTTCCAGTTGGAAAAAAATTCACCCGTATATCTTCTTTCCTCATGACTTTGGGAATCTGGCTGTGATTGAACTTGGATGTACCCCTTGTGTTTTTTATGTCTTTAGGGCAAGGGAAGACAGTCTGAGTTTGTCCAGCTCTCCTAGACTGACAAAATTCAGTACTTTTTAGTTTTAGTTTGTTTTTCTGCTTTTGACTATGGCCATTGGCCATGGCAAAGAATGGAGGATAGGGGAACATTACTCCAGAGGCTGATTTTATTGTCTCTTCCTTAATCAGGTCCCGGAGAGGTCCCTGGGGTCATAAATAGTACTTTGTCCACCAATGGATCTTACACTGATGACTTGGAGGATTCTAGAAGCTTATTATTTGGTTAGCAACTCATCTGCTGAATTTGTAAAAATGATTTAGAGTCAGTTATGGTGCCATTAAAGATGTTTACTTCTTTAAACAATATGTTAATAACTTACATGCTTCCTCTTGGGCCGTAACTCAGAGAGAGATATTAATAGAGATTCCAAACTCATAGGAAACTGAAATCAAGGGATAAATGCCAATTATTGTATCATTATTATTACTTATTGGATAATTGCATGATTCTCAAACTGTGTGCTTGTATACCCCAGGGCACCACTGTGAACTCACAGGGGTGCTATGAGATATTTTAATTTTTCAAGGGAAGTACAGTGATATGTAGCATTTTCCAGACACCATGCAAACTACTAGCTTAAGGTATTCATGGTGTTAACATTAGATCTCACCCCCTCCCTTTTGATGATGTTGTCTCTTTGCAAAGCTGGGTTTTCCACAGGTCCTGTGATTACAAAGCAAGTATAGCACAAAAATCAGTGTGGAACAGGAAATAAAGGTGGTGGCATCCGATCTGATCCTAAAGCTTGAGAAGTTGTGCAATGGACAGCAGGCACTAAGCTGTTAAGGCATAAATATTTATTAAGTTGTTTGGACTTACTTACTTAATAAGTGGGGCTTTAGATATATCTTTTGGCCTAGAAGTGCTGTGGAAAAATTACTGAGTCAATAAGTTTGGGAACTGCTGGTCTAGTGATGACCACACTAGCTCTTCTTCAAAAAGTCGGCTGTGTGATTGTTGCTGCACTCCCTACTGGTATACCAGTCCTACCTCATTCTTTTGGGATAACCTTAAATCTACCTGGCCCTAGAAAACATTTGAGCTTGTTGCCCCTTGTGAGAAGAGAGAAAACCTTAAAGCCAAATGATTAACTGGGTGATATTAGCCCAGATCATTTACTGAACCCTTCCTCATCCTCCGTCTCACAAGTGAGCCTCTGGAAATGAAGGACAGCAAGAGCATTAACTCCAGCCCTGTGCTGGGGGCTTGTATTCAGAGATGAAAGACACCTCTCAGTCCTCAAGGAGCTTATGGGATAGGGAGGAAGATGGATAAGTGGCCCACCAATGACATTGCAGTGTGATGGGCCATAGGGATCGGTCATGCAGGGGAAGGGTGACAAGCTCAAGACTCAGGGAGATGAGTGGTTAAGTGTGGCCAAGGGTCTCTAGGCTTGAGTTGGGCCTTGAAGGATGACTAGGAGTTCACCAGGTGAAAATGAGGGCAGAAGCGAGTGCCAATGGGAAGTGCAAGGATGAGAAGTCATGAAGGAGCACGACTTGGGACAAGGATGGCTGAGATGCTAAATCCTGAGACCACAGGCCTTAAGTGGAAGACTGTAGGCAGGAGAGCCCTGTGCTCAGCTCTGGCCTGTTCTCCTGTCACTGTGGAGCAGTGTGGAGGGTGGATGGTGGCACCAGGCCAGAGGAGGAAAGGAAGACAGGGTTGGACAGGAGAGACGTTAAGGAGGTGGGGTCGATGGAACCTGGACAAGGGGAAGGGAGCTGCTGTGGACGACTCCTGGTTTCAGGTTTCTAATGGAGAGAACTGAGCCACACTTGGCATCGTAGGGATGCCAAAGACGACAGACCAGAATGCCCTTGGCCTTGCATGCCAGCCAGTTATATAGCTGCCGTCTCTAGAACAGATTCTAAGTCCTTTTTAGGGTAGGGGCTGTGTCTCGCTCATCTCTGTATCCTCTTTAATTCCTCCTTAACACAAGGCCTGGCCCACAATAGGTGCCTGATGAACAATAGAAGAGAAAGCCCTTTTTAAAATCAAAAGAAGCCCAGGTATAGTGGCTCATGCCTGTAATCCTAGCACTTTGAGAGGCCAAGGCAGGAGGATCATTTGAGCCCAGGAATTTGAGACCAGCCTGGGAAATGTAGCGAAATCCTGTCTCTACAAAAAATACAAAAATGAGGGCCCAGTGCAGTGGTTCATGCCTGTAATCCTAGCACTTTGGGAGGCTGAGGAGGGCGGATCACAAGGTCAGGAGTTCGAGACCAAGCTGATCAACGTGGTGAAACCCTGTCTCTACTAAAAATACAAAAATTAGCCAGCCACGCCTGTAATTTCACCTACTCAGGAGGTGAGGCAGGAGAATCGCTTGAACCCAGGAGGCGGAGGTTGCAGTGAGCTGAGATAACGCCACTGCACTCCAGCCTGGGTGACAGAGGGAGACTCCATCTAAACAACAACAACAAAAAAACTTAGCCGAGCATGGGGGCATGTGCCTGTAGTCCCAGCTACTCAGGATGCTGAGGTGCGAGGATCACTTGAGCCTAGGAGGCAGGGGTTGCAGTGAGCGGAGATTGTCCCATCACACTCTAGCCTGGGCAACAGAGTGAGGAGAACTTGTCTCAAAAAAGTAAATAAATAAAATAAAAATAAAATCAAAAGAAGTGGTACAGGTACACAACTAGAAGCTGTTACACAGCCCAGTTATCTGGAAAGCCCAAAACGTGCTATATTTCCAAGGTTCAGTGGCATGAAATAGTCAACGTTAGAAAGGAAAAAACTCCCAACTCCTCAGTAGCTTGATGAAGTCTCTCAGACACTTCTCTTTGTACTGAACCCACTTCCGAATTGACTTCTCAAGAATAGATCCGGGCCAGGCGCGGTGGCTCACACCTGTAATCCCAGCACTTTGGGAAGCTGAGGTGGGCAGATCACGAGGTCAGGAGATCAAGACCATCCTGCCCAACATGGTGAAAACCCATCGCTACTAAAAATACAAAAAAATTAGCTGAGCACGGTGGTGCGCACCTGTAGTCCCAGCTACTCGGGGAGGCTGAGGCAGGAGAATCGCTTGAACCCAGGAGGCAGAGGTTGCAGTGAGTTGAGATCGCACCATTGCACTCCAGCCTGGTAACAGATTAAGACTCTGTCTTAAAAAAAAAAAAGAAAGAAAGAAAGAAAGAAAAGATCCTATAACCTGAGCAGAAAAAATCATGGTCACCTCCAGAGCAGAGAATCTGTCTACTCAGAGCCTTTGAGCCTTTGACTTTGGACCTGCAGATACCTGGGCAATGCAGGCTTCTGCAATCCTCTGGTCCTTCTGTCACATTGTTGCGTCTTAGTGTGATGCGTCTCTCTTTGGGATCTACGTAGTCTTAGAAGCATGCAACTATTCATGTGGGAGGATGCAAAAGTTTAGGATAAGAATTTTGCGTACTCTTGAAATGTCAACTTCACTTAAAGGTTTTTAATTTTTTTTCATATTTGTATTAAAGCCAATATGATTAGGTTATGGAGTGAATGTAAAATTTGTATGTACTCTTAAGATAGAACATAAGATGCTGAAGAAATGCCATTTCTTTGCTGTGGGCCATTGTGGGCACTTCAGTGGGAAGGTTGGAGAATCATGGTGTGAAGTGACAACAAGGCCACATCTGTGCTTGGTCACTGGGGGTGACCATGTTTTTGTTTGCTCAGGTTACAGGATCCCTCCTTGAGGAAACGACTCGGAAGTGGGCTCAGTACAAACAGGCATGTCTGAGAGACTTACTCAAGGAACCTTCTGGTAAGCATGTGTATTAGTTATCCGTGGCTGTGTAACAAATTGCCCCAAAGCTTAGCGGCTCAAAACAATAACTAGTCACTTATTACTTCTCATAGTTTCTGTGGGTGAGGAATTCAGACAGGGCACACTGGGGATGGCTTGTTTCCGCTCTGTAATGTCTAGAGTTTAGCTGGAAGACTCCCATGGCCTCTACACTTGGCCGGGGCTTCCATACAGCATGATGGTGGGGTCTCTAAGGGCCTGCCTGACCAGAGGCCAGACTGCCTTTTATGACTTGGCCTTGGAAGTCATACAAGATCACTTTGGCCATGTTCAACTGGTCAGACAGCTACAAAGCTCTACTCAGGCTAACAGTACAGAAACACAGACCCCATGCCCCACTGTAAGGAAACATATGAAACCACATGTATGTGGATGTGGCCGTCTTTGATAAAAGCCATCTGCCATGGCACACTCATCACCTGATCATATGACATGATTATCTGCTGTAGATTAGCCTGGGAATCTGTTAAAGGAATGGGGGTGGGGGGCGCGGGTCTCCCATCTCCCAGGGCATTAACTAAATCTGAATAGTAACATTTCTCTTATCCAAGCATACACTAAGTTCAGAACATTCTAGCGAATATGTAATTGTTGTCTGCAGGCTGACTCTTCGGGTGCAGCCACGTGCACCATGCCCACCTCCAAAAGAAAAAAAGAAGAAAGTACCTTGGCCCGTTGCCTCTGAGCCTACTGAGGACAATCCCCGGCTCCGGCTGCTTTCAGATCATTTTATTCAGAGGCCTTGAGATTGACAGGACACTGTGAACTCTCCCTGTCTTTCTTCACCCAAAGGCAGTCCCAGGCTTCAAGCCCTTCCCAGCTCCCTTTGAAGACCTCATGGGCCCAGGCAGGTGGTAGTCAAGCCTTGAGATCAGCTGCAGGAACCACCTCTCGCTTTGGAGAACACTGCTTTCTGAGGTCAAGGTAAGGCAGGCTTTCATCCAGAGCCATGCCATGCACAGCTCAGGTGAGCACTGCCTTACCCAGACCAGGTGCTGACACCTGGCAGCCAGGTCGACATGGTGTCCCAAGCCAGCTCATAACCTAGCACCATGGTGTTTCTAAGATTTCAATGCCAGAAACCTGGCCTTTTTTTTTTTTTTTTTTTTTTGAGACAGAGTCTCACTCTGTTGCCAAGCTGGAGTGCAGTGGCGCGATCTCAGCTCACTACAACCTCCAACTCCCTGGTTCAAGAGATTCTCCTGCCTCAGCCTCCTGAGTAGCTGGGATTACAGGCGCCCGCCACCACTCCCAGCTAATTTTTGTATTTTTAGCAGAGACGGGGTTTCACCATGTTGGCCAGGATGGTCTCGATCCCCTGACCTCGTGATCCAGAATCCTGGCCATTTTAGCCTAATAGGGAGCAGATGGTGGGGAATGATGCTTGGCTTCCAGGAGTCAGGAGCCTGTAATATTAGA
Organism: Homo sapiens; assembly: GCF_000001405.40. Lineage (NCBI taxonomy): Eukaryota > Metazoa > Chordata > Mammalia > Primates > Hominidae > Homo > Homo sapiens. Next base: position 9,835,356 of record NC_000017.11, read on the forward strand.
AGTTTGGGACCTAGTCTGAAATACTTCCATTTGATTCCAGGAGGCCCATAAGGTGGAGTTTTAAGGTTGTTGCTTCCCATTGCCAAACACCAGGGTAAATCATCCCCTGAGATGGTCCAAGTATCTAATAATGATCATTGAATTAGTGCTCAAATGGAGAGATATGGCAAATGGAGAGATATGACTATATAGTACTTGTGTTGGTTATGTGTGACCAAGGACCTTGATCTTGATCCTCCGTATTCCGCTGGTCGTTTTGTACATTCACAGAGTAAGTGTGCCCTGGGATCTAATTGGTGAAGGTTTGATGATTATTTAGCTGATTGTGGAACATAAGGCACTGGCTCAGCCTCCAAGAGTCCTCCTGTCCCCAAGTTTCTGTGAAAGTTTAGTTCATGTCGGTGGCTGGGCATGGTGTCTCATGCCTATAATCCCAGCACTTTGGGAAGCCGAGGTGGGCAGCTAACTTGAAGTCAGGAGTTCGAGACCAGCCTGGCCAACATAGTGAAACTGTCTCTACTAAAAATACAAAAATTAGCTGGGCATGGTGGCACATGCCTGTAGTCCTAGCTACTCGGGAGGCTGAGGCAGGAGAGTCGCTTGAGCCTGGGACGTGGAGGTTGCAGTGAGCTGAGATCACGCCATTGTACTCCAGCCTGGGCAATACAGTGAGACTCCATCTCCAAAAAAAAAAAAAAAAAAAAAGAAAGAAAGAAAGTTTAGTTCATGTCAAATAAAGCAAAATCAGCATGATGTGTACATTGACGTAATTGACCGGAGGTCAAGTTGGGCAGACGAATGCACATTCTTTGGGACTGCATTCAGCATTCCTGTGGTCCCCAAATCATTCCCCATCCTTGACTCATCTAGAGAGTGGGGCACCCATGCTGGTTTCTGCACAGGTTACACCAGCTTCCAGTGCCAGGAAGGTGGGCTCCCACGGTGCCTCTGCCTCCATCAGTGGCATCCCTGTGCTAAAACACTGATGTTTATCAGACCCTTCTTCTCTCTGTAGGCATATTTTGTAACGGGACATTTGATCAGTACGTGTGTTGGCCTCATTCTTCTCCTGGAAATGTCTCTGTACCCTGCCCTTCATACTTACCTTGGTGGAGTGAAGGTAATAAGTCTTATTTTTACCAATTTTCCCCAACCAAGTGCTTTTCTGAAGTCCTCTTCCCCCACAAACAGTCCCCGTCTAAGCTCTCAGTAATACATCTTCCTTCTGTAATTTTTCTATTCCTGGATGTTCCATTTATTTTTATGTATGTATGTATATATTTATTTTTATTTATCTTTGTGGTTACATAGTAGGTGTATATATTTGTGGGGTACATGAGATGTTTTGATACAGGCATGCAATGTGAATAAGCATGGAGAATGGGGTATCCATCCCCTCAAGCATTTATCTTTTCAGTTACAAACAATCCAATTACACTCCTTAGTTATTTCAAAATGGACGATCAAGTTATTATTATTATTATTATTATTACTATTATATATCTATTTTTTGAGATGGAATCTCGCTCTGTCGCCCAGGCTGGAGTGTGGTGGCGCGATCTCAGCTCACTGCAACCTCCGCCTCCCAGGTTCAAGCGATTCTCCTGCCTCAGCCTCCCGAGTAGCTGTGACTACAGGCACCCACCCCCACCACACTCGGCTAATTTTTTTGTATTTTTAGTAGAGACGGGATTTCACTGTGTTAGCCAGGATGGTCTCAGTCTCCTGACCTCAGGTGATCCACCCGCCTCCGCCTCCCAAAGTGCTGGGATTACAGGCGTGAGCACTGCGCCTGGCCGATTAAGTTATTATTGACTATCATCACCAGTTGTGCTATCAAAGAGTAGCTCTTATTCATTCTTTCTATTTTTTGTACCCATCATCCCTCCCCACCTCCACTGTCCCAGCCGCCCACTACCCTTCCCAGCCTCTGGCAACCATCCTTCTACTCTCTATGTCCATGAGTTCAATTGTTTTGATTTTTAGATCTTACAAATAAGTAGCTCTCGTACTTTGAAGCTTCTAGAGTACAGATCCAGCAGCCACTAAATTTGGCTGCAGTGGGGGTAAGAATGGCCACTGTCATGGAGAGGAGAAACAGGTGGGGGAGAAAGATTGGGATGCTAACCTCCACACAATTTTTGGGTTGTTAGATGGGGAAGAAGGATTTTCAAAGAACCCTTTGCATTCACATTGAAAGGAGGTGCCAATAGGTTAGTGTTTTTAACTCCCATGGGACTTGGATGGAGAATTTAACCACTTAGCTTGCTCTGATGCTGTTTCAAGGAAGTAAACATTACTTAGATACCCAGGATAATATCCCATCCCTACCAGCCCCAGAAGCCCAACCTCTTGGTTATTTTATTCTGAAAGAGGAGAGAGGTGATTACTGGTTAGATTCCTGTTGCCTTTTACCACAGACCACCAGCAAATACAAGGACAACTAAAACTGTTCTCAGGAAAGATAAGTGGTTACAAGCTCCAGGCAAAACAAGGTGAGAACCAGCTTCTGAGAGGGTAAGATGATAGCCTTTTGTATTTAATTTCAGCCCGATAAATCATCCCATTGTGCAACTTTAGTTTCAATGTTTTGCGCCTCTAGAGCAGAGAGAGAGAGAGTGTTTAGAAGGAAGATACATTTCTGGGTGGGAGAGTTAGTGACCTATTTTATGGAAGTGTTCTCTGATGAAATCCAGTTGGAATCATCCCAAGAAGCATGAGAATGTGAGATTTTAGGGAGGGTGGAAGAGATAACTCGCTGGATCGGAGGACTCTGAATGACTCAGGCACAGTACCCCTGGGAGCAGCTCAGTGAGGGAAAAGAGCACTGGGTGTGGAGTCAGGAGCCCCGAGGTCAGACCCAGTCCCTCTGTTTTACACTTTGGAGACTTTGGGCAAATTCCCACAGCCCCCTGAGCTTCCACTTCCTCATCTATGAAGGGAAGGAGAGTTGCTAATTCTGAAGGTCACTCCGAGGAGTCAATGAGAAGGCACTCACAGGGTGCGTCGCACAGCTGCCGCTTGGTCCGCGGGAGCTGAAGCTGAATCCAGGGAGGAGCCCCTTGGATTCCTTCAAGTCTAGAGGCCCCAAACACCTGGACTTCTCAGTAGCATGTGGAGCCGATCCCTACTTCTCTGCTCACTGTCTACCTGTCCCTCTCTGCTCACTGTCTACCTGTCCCTTTCCAAGAGCTAAAAACACAGATCCATTCCACTGTAAGAGAAAATGAAGTGTTCAAAAAGCCACATTTACAAAGAAGTTAAATTAAAGCCTCTTTAAAAAAAAAATAGGTTTTGGGCTTCTGGAATGTGAAGGGAGTGTGATTTGCAAGAGGTGGGAAGTTACTCTTCCACCCGCCATTCTGTGCATTAAATCTTTAGAATCCAAATGGATCCCTGCAGTGAAGAGAATGTGGAGACCGTGGAAGGGCGCAGAGGAGAACATGTGCAAATGCACAGAGTGGAGGAGAGTCCCTGTGAGATGGGAGAGAGGAAGGAGCTTGGTAATATCAGAAGAGGGAGCGCCTGGCGCCTGTAGTCCCAGCTACTCCGGAGGCTGAGGCAGGAGAATGGCGTGAACCCGGGAGGCGGAGCCTGCAGTGAGCCCACATTGCACCACTGAGCGCCTGATGGCAAACAGAAGCTGTAACTGACGACTGAGGCTGGGGGCTGATGACGAAGGAAGCTGGGTGTTAGTCACTAGGGTTTCAAGCTTTCTTCTGTAGAGGAAGATTATGTGGAGTCCCAGAAGGTGTTAAGGCATAAAAATGGAGCACAAGTTGTAGTCTGGGAGAATGACATTGAGAGCATGCAGCTATTGGACACAGGAATGGAGGAACCAAGGAGGAGAGTGGGGAAACTACTGCAGTGTCCCAGAAAACAGCATGCTAAGGGTCTGGATTCTGGCAAGGGCAAGAGGGCAGAGAGAAGGAGAAAGATTAAAGTGTTGGAGGCAGAATGCTCAAGACTTGTCATCAATTGGAGTAGAAACTGAGGGACAGGGAGGAGTAGAAAATGGAGGAGAGGAAAACAAACTCCTCTTCCTTCTCCTCCTCCTCCTTCTCCGCCTCTCTTCCCCATCTAAGGAATGGTCTCAGGGTCCACCTGGCCCCACCCAAGCCCACATCTCAACCAGTGGGTAGCCAGGTCTTCCATCTCCTCCTCCCCTCCATCCCTCACTGCTGTGGGCTCACCAGCACCCTCTGCTGCTTCTCCATGGCCTCCTCTCCAGTCCCTGCCTCAGATCTGGCCCCCTCCAGGCACCTTTGGAAAAGCTTTCTAAAATATCATTCACATTCTGTCTCCCCAGCATCACGACTCCTACAAATGGCATGCAAGACCTCCTGCTGCCTGGCCCTGCTGACCTCGTTAGCACTCTCCCCCACGTTCAGGGTTCCCTGCACTCCAGCCCAATGAGCAACTCCCAGGCTCTGCACCTGGTCCAGCTCTTGCCACTCAGTACCTTGGCTCGCACACCTGCCCAGGAGGCCTCCTCACAGGCTCTGGCCATGCTCCTCTGCCTATAAAGCCCCTTGTAATTCTCAGCTCAATCCTTTCCTCCTTCTAGAAGATTTCTCAGACCTCTCCCCTCAACTACAGACCTCTCCCCTCTGCCTTTCTGAAGCCTCTTTTTTTTTTTTTTTGGAGACAGAGTCTTGCTCTGTTGCCCAGGCTGGAGTGTGCCGATCTTGGCTCACTGCAACCTCTGCCTCCTGGGCTCAAACAATTCTCCTGCCTCAGCCTCCCAAGTAGCTGGGATTACAGGCACACATCACCATACCAAGCTAATTTGTGTATTTTTAATAGAGACAGGGTTTCACTATGTTGGCCAGGCTGGTCTCGAACTTCTGACCTCGTGAACCTCCCGCCTTGGCCTCCCAAAATGCTGGGATTACAGGCGTGAGCCACCGCACCCGGCCTCTGAGGCCTCTTCTATACCTGTGCAGTCTTCTGTCTTAGCATTTATAATCGTTTACGGCGATTTTTCTTTGCACTCCCCCAGCCAGAGCTGAGCCCTATTTGTATCTTTGCATTCCCAGCACAAAGCATTATGGCTAGTACAGACAATGCAAGTGTCAAGTGACATTCTTACCATTCACTCATTCAACTAATATTTATGAAGCACCTGTTGTATGCCATGCATTATTTTTAAGTGCTTGGGATATATTAGTGACAAAAACCGAGTAAGATCTCTCTCCTCGTGGGGCTTACATTCTTGCAGGAGAGACAGACAATTATCAATAAGCATCATAAATAAGTGCAGACTATGTTTGAATGTGATCTATGTTAAACAAGATGGGGAAGGGAAGGGATGGGATGGTTGGAGTGGGGTGATGTGTTGCACCTGTAAACTGGGTAGTTAAGGAAGTCTTCGATGGCAAGGTGACATTTTGGTGAAGATGTAGAAAAGGTAAAGGTTTTAGAGGGAGGGTGTTCAGGAGGGAAGGAGACAGCAGGTCAATGGCGCTCTATGCGGGGACCATGCCTGGCCTGTTCCATGAAGAGAAGTAGGCAGATGTGGCTGTGGTGAAGAGGGGAGAGAAGCAACAGGTTACAACAGAGAGTTACGGGCCAGATCTTAGGGGGCTTCGTGAAAGGCCAGAAGACTTTTTCTCAGAAAGCCCTTGGAAGATTTGGAGAGAAGCATGACATGGTGTGGCTAATTTTTTTTTTTTTTTTGAGACAGAGTCTCCCTCTGTCACCCAGGCTAGAATGCAATGGCGTGATCTCAGCTCACTGCAACCTCTGCCTCCCAGGTTCAAGCAATTCTCCTGCCTCAGCCTCCCTAGTAGCTGGGACTACAGGAGCTCGCTACCATGCCTAGCTAATTTTTTTTTTTTTTTTGTATTTTTAGTAGAGACAGGGTTTCACCATGTTGGCCAGGCTGGTCTCGAACTCCTGACCTCAGGTGATCCACCCACCTCGACCTCCCAAAGTGCTGGGGTTACAGGCGTGAGCCACCACGCCTGGCCTGTGTGGCTGATATTTTATTCAGCTTGCTCTGACTGCTGGGTTGCCCACAGATGTGAGGGGCAGGACTGTCAGAGGAGTCCCATCTCCCGGTGGGAGGTGATGGTTCCACAGGATGGAAGCAGGAGGTGAAAGTGGCAGTCAGATTCTGGGTACAGATGAAGGCAGGGATGACAGATTAGCTAGAGGACCTGAGGAAGGCTATGAGAGACAGAAGGGGAGGGTGACTCTGAAGTTTAGGGCCGGGGGATTGGAAGGACGGGTTTGCCATCCACTGAGGTGGTAAAATAGGTGGGTGGAGCAGATTTTGAAAAGAAGAAAAAGGGTGTGGTTTGGAGTGTGTTGTTTGAGATGTCAATTAGACACCCTACCTAGCAAAGCTGTCAGGGGAGTAGGGGGCTATACCCTTTGGTTGTCCATTCATTGAATTCAGCATATAGTTACTGTTGGCCCATGATATGCAGGGCCAGGACTAGGAAGGACCAACAGATTTCGACTTCTCGTTTGCAAGCTCAGCCTCTAATCCTCCAGGTGGAGGACCTTCTGGGAGAGTCTCCTGGGATAGATGTGACTGAGTCACAATGGCAGTCTGTATGCGCAGAGGGATTTTTCTCATCATTTTCACATACACTTTCATTTAATCCTTTCCCAAATCATGGAGAGTTGGTACCAATTATTATCCCCAGTTCCTGATGAAAACAGAGGAAGGCTTAGAGGTTAGGAGAGCTAGGCCCAGGACACACTCATGCATGGATGGCGCATCCGGCTTCAGCCCCAGTCTGTCAGCCACGTGCCCACCACTTTCTCTTCTGCATGGCATGAGCCTCAGGAAGAGATGCCCCACCTAGCAAGCATCAGGAGCCCAGATTGGCATCTCCCAGCTGGGCTGAACCTTGGAGGGCTTATAACATCACTGAGTCACCAGAGGCTGTTCTAACTCCAGAGACTTTGGGTAAACACAGCAGACATTAGCAGACCATGGTGTGTTACAAAATTGAGAAGCTTCCATGTTTTCCTTTCCATCCCAAATAAACAGTGAGGATGTTAATGAGCCCCCAAAAGGGGAAATGAAAATCCCTTCTCCCTGGGATTTTCCACAGCTCTGTGGCATGCTCAGGGGAACGGGCTGTGTGTTCTGACCTTTCCTCCAGAGCTTTGTTTACTTTCAGAGAGCTCAGGAAGGGCCTACAGACACTGCTTGGCTCAGGGGACTTGGCAGACGATAGAGAACGCCACGGATATTTGGCAGGATGACTCCGAATGCTCCGAGAACCACAGCTTCAAGCAAAACGTGAGTTTGCTCAGCTCAGTGAGGAGGCATCCAGGGTCCAAACCACCCTCCTTCGGGACACCCCAGTGGCCTGCTGGCTCCAGGGGCCACACAAAGAGGCTTCTCCAGCGCCTCTCCCCGGGGAAGCTAAGGAAGGTCCCGCAAAGCAGCAACCCTTGTGGCGGCCATGGAATTTCTTCCACTACTAGGCTGACATGCAAAATCCTAAGAGAAGTCAGTCTTCCAGGATTGATCCTGGCATTTGTGCTTGCTGTTCCCCGTGCCTGGAGCACCTGTCCCAGCTCCCCTGTGGCTGGCTCCTTCTCACCATCCAGGGTTCAGTCCAAATATCTCCTTCAAAGAGAGATCTTCCAGGGTCACCTAATCCAGAGAGTGCCCTCTATGGTTGCCACATCCCCCCGACCCACCACCCACCACCCCCCACTTCGACTCCTTTATGGCACCTGCCCCTCCCTGAAATTCTCACTGTTGCTTATTTGTTATCTAGCCCTCTCATCAGAATGTAGATCCACTGGTGACAGGGGACTTGTGTGCCTCGAGGGAGTGGCATAGCACAGGGTCTAGGGTCAGGCAGCCCTATTTCCATTCCAAATAGTAAGAATGTTAATAAGCCCCCAAAAGGGGAAACGAAACGTCCCTTATCCTTGGGATTTTCCACAGCTCTGTGGCATGCTCAGAGGAACAGTCTGTGTATTCATATCCAGACTCTGCTCTTCCCGGCTGTGAACCTGGTGCAAGTTACCTCATCTTCTTGGGCCTCTGCTTCCTCATTCATGCCACAGGGATCATATTTGCTACATGTGACGTTGTGAGGATTTAGTCATCAGACATCAGTTTCTTAGGAGAAAACCTGGTACACGGTCAGCATGGTCTATGCAGGCACTCCTGCCCTATCCCCAGGGTCTACCACAGTAACTGGTCCGCAAGTCCCCATGGCTTCCCAGGAAAGGTTTTTTGGATGAACAAACAAATCCATGCTTCAGACTTCTCTCCACATGTGTTCTTTCCAGAATCCTTCTGCACCATACTTTCTCGTTGGACTCTTGCTCTTCTCCCTGAGGACCTCCTGTTTGTCCAACATCTGCTCACTTTCCTTCAAAGTGCAATGCAAGAGGCTGCACAAAGCGGAGGAACAGGTGTTTGGGGATCAGACAGATATCTACGGCCACACCTTGGTTTCTTTCATTCCGATGGTCAGGCCACAAACAGTAATGAAGCATATACGATGGGTTAGGTTTTTGCACCAGGCACTGGGAATAAACAGGGGATAGCACGTGGATACTGCCTCCAGGGAGCTCAGAGTCTTGTGATCTTGTGAGGCATAGGGACAGTGTGATCGTTGCTGGGAGGGAAGTGTCAGATGCCCAGGGTCATGGAGGATGGGGAAACTGATGCAGACAGGGGACCAGGAAGGCTGCTCAAGCCTAGCCCTGCAGGGTGAGAAGGAGATGGCCATAGTAAGAGAGAGAGCAAAAGGGAGAAACACACCTAGGGTCAAAGAGCTCACGGGGCTCTGGGGCCACCTTGAGTGCTGCTGGGCAGGTGAGGTAGGGCCTGAGGAGGACACAGGTGGAGGTAGAGGCCTCGGGAGAGGTAGGTGGTGAAGGCCTCCTGTGCCCGGTGAAGGACTTAGGACTTTGTATATTGAAGTAGGAGAGGGACATAACTAACTTATGTGTTGACAGATTTGTCCTGGCAGATTGGAGAGGAGTGAACTTGTCAACACATGAGTTAGTTATGGAGATCGGAGACTGGGGCCATGCTGGAGGCAGAAGGCAGGGACAACAGGCAGGAACCGTGGCAGCAACTCAGGCCGGATAGGAAGAGAGCGCCCAGGGGTGGAAGAAGAGGGAGGGTGGACTCATAGGTTTACCGAGGAGCAAAACGGTAGGACCTGGCTGGTGCTGGAGGCTGTGAGAGGGTAGAGCCAAGGACAACAAGATCGCAGGCTTCTGGCTTGGACCCTTGAGGAGACTTAAAAATGCCCCTCCCTGAGAAGGATACAGGGAGAGGCCTTGCCCTTTGGATTCTCAATATTTTACTACCTAATTCTTTTTTTTTTTTTTTTTTTTTTTTTTTTTTTTTTTTTTGTGAGGCAGAGTCTCGCTCTGTCACCTAGGCTGGAGTGCAATGGCATGATCTTGGCTCACTGCAACCTCTGCCTCCCGGGTTCAAGCAATTCTCCTGCCTCAGCCTCCCAAGTACCTGGGACTACAGGTGCGTGCCACCACGCCCGTCTAATTTTTATATCTTTAGTAGAGACGGGGTTTCACCATGTTGTCCAGGCTGGTCTCGAACTCCTGACCTCAGGTGATCCACCCGCCTTGGCCTCCCAAAGTGCTGGGATTACAGGCATGGGCCACCGTGCCTGGTCCTTTCTACCTAATTCTGTGCCCTAATTTGAACCTGCAAAACACCCCCACTCTCCGCCACTCCCAAGTTGTGGCTTTTTTTTTTTTTGAGATAGAGTCTGTCTCTGTTCCCCAGGGTGGAGTGCAGTGACGCGATCATGGCCCACCACAGCCTCCACCTTCCAGGCTCAAGTGATCCTCCCACCTCAGCCTCCTGAGTAGCTGGGACTACAGGTGCACACCACCACATCTGGTATTTTTTGTAGAGACAGGGTTTCACCATATTGCCCAGGCTGAATTGTGGCTTTATTTCATGATTTAGTTGGAATTCTTTAGCTCTCTAAAGTCATTTAAATATTATCCCATTAAATGTTAAAGATATTCTATACAATAAAGTCTGGGGACAGGGGAAGGCAAGGAGTTCAGTTTTAGAAACACTATTCTTGTCACGGGAGCCACCTAGCCTCTCTGCAGGCATCGTAAGATGGGGTTGAAAATACCCGCTTTGCAGGCTTAGTTGTGAGGCTTCAGAGGGCAATGAATGTGGAGTGATTCATCCACCTCCTGGCACACAATAGGCATTTGATAGTTGTGATTATTGCGTTTCTTTTCTTTTCAGACTATCTTCCCTGGACCCTACAAACACTTCTCTCCCTCCCTGGCCTCTCTGGTTCAGTCCTAGGGCTGTGATCATAGTTCACTTGTCATTGTGAGTTTTTTGGTGTCTGTGATGGTAGCTTTTCTGCATTGGCTATTTGGTTGGATTTATGTGTGTGTGTGCGTGTGTGTGTGTGTGTGTGTGTGTGTAATATTTCATTTGACTTTCAAAAGCCAAAAACCTAGCTTTTTGTTAAGTTATTAAGGTCAATGCTATTTCATATAGTTTTTTATTCTATTTATAAATCTAGTAAGTTAGTCTACTTTCGTAGAGGTCTCTGATTAATTTTTGTTGACACAAACAAGTTATTTACATATCCTTTTACATTTTAAGCTGCGCTATTACATTTGATATGCTTTAGACATTTAAACTATGTTAAATAATTGTTATAATAAGAAAATCTTTCTTATTTTAAAATAATTCTAGTTCATCGAATACATCAACTTTATATGTTGAGTCTTAAATTTTCCTAAATATGTCAATACTGTTTTCATCACGGTTTCAACTTAAAGTTGAAAATCAAGTACGCTTTGATGTATTTCATATTGGAAGCTTAATACTAACCTATTAGGTCCTCTAATATGTCATATTCTCTAAATAATACCAATTGCATACAGATTGTGCAAGTAATTTAAAAAACTGCTATATGAGGGATAGACCAAGGGGTAGATATGGGGCGATACCACATAAAGTTTAATGTTTGTTAGAGGCCAGCTGCAGTAGCTCAGGCCTGTAATCCCAGCGCTTTGGGAAGCTGAAGTGGGAGGGTTGCTGGAGCCCAGGAGTTTGAGATCAGCCTGGGCAACACGGCGAAACCCCATCTCTAAAAAATCAATACAAAAATTAGCTGGGCATGGTGGTGTGCACCTGTAGTCCCAGCTACTTGGGAGGCTGATGTGGGAGGATCACTTAAGCCCCAGGAGGTTGAGACTGTAATGAGCTACGATTGTGCCACTGCACTCCAGCTTTGGTGACAGAGTGAGACTCTGTCTCAAAAAACAACGAACAAACAAAAAACAGTTTAATGTTAGAATCTAAGTGGTGGATATACAGATGTTCTTTATAAAGTTTCTTTAACTTTGGTGTATGTTTGAAATTTTCATAATAAATATTGAGGACAAATAAAAAAATTCTATACCTGAATTTAACACAAAACATTAATCAATGTAGTGGTGCGATCAAACCTTGCCAAGATTAAGACACAAAACAAACACTTTCACACTAAGGAGACAAACTGGTCCAAGAAAGTAGGGGTTTCCATCTCAGGAGACATGGTTGCCTGTAGACCAAGATTTGTTTGTTCTGGTTGTCAATACCAGTGGTGTAGGTGTGTTAGTAAATGTTAACAACAGGCTCCCTGCTTCCACTCCTGAAGAAAGAAAGGCTAGGATTTGTTAACACTTGCCAATTTTGGTGGCATTAATGCCCCCCATGGCCAATTTCAAGCTACCAGTGTGACCGCAGAGGATGCACAGTAGCGCAGCGTTAGACATGTTTCTCCTCATGCAGATACAACAGCAAAAATAACCCCAGTGGCACTGAACACAGACATGTAGAAATGTAATTAGGAAGTGATGAATTTGGAGTATTTATTGCTTTTATTCTGAATATAATTTATTCATTGTAAATTTACATCATTTAATTTTTTTTTCTTTTTTTTTGAAACGGAGTTTCGCTCTTGTTGCCCAAGCTGGAATGCAGTGGCACGATCTCGGCTCACTGCAACCTCCGCCTTCCGGTTTCAAGCGATTCTTCTGCCTCAGCCTCCAGAGTAGCTGGGACTACAGGGGCACGCTGCCACACCCGGCAATGTTTTGTATTTTTAGTGGAGACGGGGTTTCACCATGTTGGCCAGGCTGGTCTCGAATGCCTGACCTCGTGATCTGTCCGCCTCAGCCTCCCAAAGTGCTGGGATTACAGGTGTGAGCCACCGCGCCCGGCCATCGTTTAATTTTTAAGAATGCTCATGTTTTGCAACTGGTTCCCTGAAAATTTGCCAATCAGTTCTCACAAGCCAGGATGACCGTACCACTGGGTCTACCAGGGTGACTTTTTTCACTCTTGCCAACAAGTTGAGCCCCAGGTTCATGTCCATTAGAGAAGGCTGATCGTATTCAGGTTCTACACGTTTCATAAACTAGCTATTTGGTCTAACAGGAGCCATCTGGTTCGGGCTCTGTTCCTTCAGAGCCTCGTGGGTGTTGGCATGTCCTTGGCTCCCTTAAGTGTATCCTAATCTTCCATCAAGGCGCAGTGGCTCATAAGTATGATCCCAGTGCTTTGGGAGGCTGAGGCGGGAGGGCTGCTTGAGGCCAGGAGTTTGAGACCAGCCTGCTCAACATAGCAAGATTCCATGTCTAATCTTCCATCAGACGTGAAGAACCTTCAACTGGATACTCCACATCCTCAGGGAATTCTGTCTAAACCTCTTACTTTCCTACTGGATTTGAGTTAACAGAATCCTGTGATCCTTATACAGTTTTACTGTGTGAGATATCACACCTCTTAAAGGGATCAGAAGGACACCTGTAGTTGGATTAGATCCGGTTTATCTCAAGAATTTGTCTGACTTTTTTCACATCAAAGTTGTGCTAATGGCATGCCTTGAATTAGGCAAACTGTGTATTTTTTTTCTCCTGGGCTTCAAACTGTTTGAGAACAACAACAAAGTCACAGTTATATTTGACTATCACCCCCAAACCTCTGACCTAGTACTGAGGTGCACAGTGGCCTTTGCATACAGTAGGCACTTAATAAATACTACATGAATGGCTTCACAAATTCTGAGCCAATTGGTCTGTAGGGGGGTCCAGCCATCAATACTAGTTCCAAAGTTCCCCAGATGATTCTAATATGCAGCCAAGGTTGAGAACCACAAGTGTGCGGACACAGTAGCACCATCCCCAAGTCAGCAAATGGGGAGCGCTAAGCAAGATTTGAAAACTGCGCTTTCAAAAACAGGAAGTAAAGATTTCTCTCTTCGGAAAAGTGAGGACAAGAGCATTGCCTCCTCCCCTCTGCAAATGGCCATATTTCCAAGAATTCAAATACTTAACAAAAAAAACAACTTCTGGCCATGTTTACCTGTGTTTCTAATAGAGGGTTGAAATTTTGCCCAAAAAAGGCCAGTGTTAGTAAATCTTTGCCCTTCAGAGTTTTGGCAAACAAAATATGTTATGTTCTTCCAACTAACGAGATGCTGGGGGTCCTTATGCATGTTAAATGGCACTTTTAAAGGAGATTGTGTGTGTGTGTGTGTGTGTGTGTGTGCGCTCACATAAGCATTAACAAGTGTGTTTAGATGACTTAGTATGGAATTGCGTTTAATGGAATGAAAATAAATTACTATGCCTTACTTTGTCCTTTAAAAAGTGCGTCTATTCTTAAATACATAATTTAATTAATACATACATATGAATTCATATATCTGTATATAATTTTAATATATGGCATATAATTTTAATAATACGTTTAAAATTTTAATATAATTTATAATATATCCATTGATTATATATGATTTTTCCAACATTTTATTTTGAAATATTGAAACATATAGAAAAATTAAAAGAATAATATAGTAGACACTCATATACCCAGTATTTAGATTCAAAATGTAATAACATTTTGCCACATTTGCTTTCTCTCTGTTTCTTTCTGAAATATTCAAAACTAATTTGTAGACATCATGAGATTTCACCCCTAAATTCATCGGGTACCTCCTAAGATTAAGGACATCATTCTACACAACTACATTACCATTATTTCAACCAAGTAAAATTAACAGTGATTTTTATCACATGGCCTATTTCATCCATATTTAATATTTTTTCCAATTGTTTTCCCAAACTTTTATAGCTTTTCTGCCCTAGAAATATTTCTCTCTCTTTCTTACAGCTGGATAGTATTTCACTTAGCATATCCACCAGTTTGTTCAGCCACTGTCCTATGACCATCTGGGTTATTTCCAATCTTTTTCTCTTTCTTTTTTTTTTTTTTTTTTTTTTTGAGACAGAGTCTTGCTCTGTCGCCCAGGCTGGAGTGCAGTGGCGTGATCTCGGCTCACTGCCAGCTCCGCCTCCTGGGTTCACGCCATTCTCCTGCCTCAGCCTCCCGAGTAGCTGGGACTACAGGCGCCCGCCACCACGCTCGGCTAATTTTTTTGTATTTTTAGTAGAGACAGTGTTTCACCATATTAGCCAGGATGGTCTTGATCTCCTGACCTCGTGATCCACCCACCTCGGCCTCCCAAAGTGCTGGGATTACAGGCATGAGCCACTGCGCCCAGCCTATTTCCAATATTTTATTCCTAAAACTGCCACAGTGAATAATCTCAGATGTTTATGTTGGCTTATATTTGTGGCAGTATATCTTTTGGAAGATTTCTAGAAGTGGGATCACTGGATTAAAGGCAGGTGCATATATAATTTTGTTAGACATTGCCATCGGGGTTATACATTTGTCCTCCCTTCAACTATGTATGAGAGTACCTGTTTCCTCGTTGGGTGCGTATCACATATTGGTTAGGAAGCTTCTCATAAAGGTGTCTAAGTGACATAAGATTCACCTGTTGGTACTAAGCGTGAGCTGGAGACCTGATGTTTTGGAGCCTCTAGGAAAGTAGCCAGGTTTTGTTAGAGACCTTAATGTAGAGGACAGTTGAACAAAATCCTGTAAAAAAGTACAATTAAACCAACTGTAGCAGGTGCTCTTGGCGCCCTGCCCGTATCCCTTTGCCCTAATCAATTCAGTACACAGCTGCTTAACTTCTTACCACAAGTGCATGCATTTCTTTGCTGGTTCTCTGGTTCCTGAAGCCCACTTGTTCGTTGAAATGCAGGCCATAAGTGCCATGAAATTAATGTGCCTTGGAAGTCACCTTCAATCGATGACTGGCAAGATTTGGTATGTTTCTATACCAACTCCCTTGGTCTTGGGGTTAGTTGACTCTGAGGATTCCAGAGCTTCCCCAGTGGGATTAAGCTCCAGCTTCCCACCATGGTAGCTGGCTTGATAACCCATGCTTTATTTGTGCTAAGTGCTCCCTTACCCTACCGATGATTTTTTCACTTTTTTTTTTTTTTTTTGAGCCGGGATCTCTCTCTCTCTCACCCAGGCTGGAGTGCAATGGTGCAATATTGGCTCACTGCAACCTCCACCTCCAGGGTTCCAGTGATTCTCCTGCCTCAGCCTCCTGAGTAGCTGGGAATACAGGCGCACACCACCATGCCCAGCTAATTTTTGTATTTTTAGTAGAGATGGGGTTTGCCATGTTGGCCAGGTTGGTCTCGAACTCCTGAACTCAGGTGATCCTCCTGCCTGGGCCTCCCAAAGTGCTGGGATTACAGGCTTGTGAAGCACCATGCCCAGCTGATTTTTTTTTCACTTTCTATGCAAGCTGCCTGCATTCCAATTCTTGTCTCAGGATCTGCTTCTTGGAAACCCAAACTAATTAGGACACAGACAAAAAAAAGACATGTCCCCTAATTTGTTCCTAGAAAGCACAAAACACACACGTGTTTTAAAAATCATAATTTAGAAACAAATAGTTAGGTTATTTAATTAAATGTGTTAGCCTCATATCTCCAATAAAATAAATCATGCTATTCGACCCAGTAATGTCTTGATATGCCACAGAAATAGTCAATTTAAAGAAACTACACCACTCTGTGTGCAGAAGCACAAAACACTTCTTTACTTTCAAGGTGTTTCATAGTCTATCTGGAAAGACAAGATGAATGAAAGCAAAGCATTATTGAATAATACAATTGACACCCTATTTGTGAAACAAACCACAAGTACTTTGACAATAAGAGTTGACAATAAGCAGAGAGACATTTGAGGAGGATTTCTTATAGGGGGTAGGTTTGTGCTGGTCTTAGAGGGAAAGACTTAGTTTCAAGGAGAGGCAAACAAGCACAGTTGGAGACTGACAAGATTGTAGGGATCTAGATGAAGTCCATAGAGAATAATTCTAGAGAGAAACGTGGTTGGGATTGATCTGGAAGAGCTCAAAGTCTACACCGAGAGTTCTGCCTCCAGACCACCACTGCAAAAAATGATAACAGAGAAAGAAAAAAACATACGACATAGACATTTTAATCTACAAAAAGGAATGAAGAACACTAGAAATAGTACATATAAAGGTAAATTTTTATCTCATTTAAAAAATGTTCTAAAAAGAGAAATAAATTTAGTTTTTAAAATCACACAAAATATATTAGAAATCAAAAACAGTAAGTTGCTTGGAAAATTCCCCAAATATTAAAAAAAAAATAACAACATACTTCTAAATAACCCATGAGTCAAGTAAAAAAGTATAAAATAAATTAGTAAATATTTTAACTAAATAAAGACAAAAATACAATATGCCAATAATTTTGTGATGCAACCAAAGCAGTCATGGAGAGAAATGTATAGCATTTGTTTTTTTTTTTGTTTTTTTTTTTACTTTAAGTTCTGGGATACATGTGCAGAACGGGCAGGTTTGTTACATAAGTATACATGTGCCATGGTGGTTTGCTGCACCCATCAACCCATCATCTAGGTTTTAAGCCCCACATGCATTAGGTATTTGCTGTAATGCTCTCTCTCCCCTTGGCCCCAACCCCCTGACAGGCCCCCGTGTGTGATGTTCCCCTCTCTGTGTCCATGTGTTCTCATTGTTTAACTTCCACTTATGAGTGAGGACGTGTGGTATTTGGTTTTCTGTTCCTGTGTTAGTTTGCTGAGAATGATGGCTTCCAGTTTCATCCATGCCCCTGCAAAGGACATGAACTCATTCTTTTTTATGGCTGCATAGTATTCCATGGTGTATATGTGCCACATTTTCTTTATCCAATCTATAGCATTCTTATATTAGAAAATTGGAAAAATATCAAGTCAGTGGCCTAACTGCCATCTTAAGAAACTAGGAAAAAAACCTCAGCAAATTAAACTCAAAGTAAGCAAAAGAAAAGAATTACAAAGTATGAATAGAATTTAATTAAATGGAAAACGGAAAGACAATATGAAAATAAATAAATAAAACCCAAACTTGGTTATTTAATCTTGGTGTTGATGGTTTTGAGTCTTTTCCATTCTGGTTTGATTTTTGTGCATTTTTGCCTGGAGTGTTTCATAGATTTCTCCACTGCTGCTTTTTCTTCAGTTTCCTCATCAAAATCATCATCTTCTTCAACATCATCATCTTCATCATCATCATCATCTTCTCCATCAGCAGGAAGTTTTAATTTTTTCTGTGGAAACTTGCTACCACTTCCAGGGGCAGATTACTTTCCAGATATACTTAAGAGTTTCACATTCTTCTCCTCTTCATCTTCTGACTCTGCATCTTCCTAAGTGCTGTCCACTAATAGGCATCTGCTCTGAACCACACTCTTCAACTGTAAGACCGTGGGTGGTGTGATTTCAAAGCCCCCATGGAAACCATTGGCTGTACAGACATTTTCAAAGTCGCCAGTGTTACTTTAATTGGACTGCCTTCGTCATTCATTGTCTCTGCGTCAACAATGTGCAATCATGCTTTGCACCAGCCCTCAAACTGACAATTCTTAAAGATAAGTGGTGTTCCTTTTCATCATTGTCCGCCTTAAAGGGATCGTCTTTGTCGGCCTTTAGTTCACAACTGAAAACATAGTTCTGGGGCCTCCGGGGGCTCATGTCCATCTCCATCGAGTCCTCCATGGGGTGGTGGCACGTACTTAGGTGGGAGAAAAGGTGGACAGAGATAAATGACTGCTGCTCCAGGGAACAGCTGTGCAGGACGGAATCACACCAGCCAAACTTGGTTACTTAAGAAGATCAATAAATTTGGTAAACCTCTAGAAAGATGAACTTAAAAAAGGGAAAGAATTAAAGATGAGAGAGAGAAAGTGAGAGAGAGGTCAGGAGTTATATTAAGAGAGATGGAACATCACTACTGATACTTTATAGACATTAGAAGGATAATAAGAGATTTTTGATGAATGCCTTTTTGCCAATAATTTCTACATGTTGGATACAATAATTTTTTTAAAAGAAACAAACTACAAAATTTCACTAAAGAAGGAATGGATAACCAGAATAGTCCTATATCTATTATTAAAATTGCCTTGCAGTTAAAATTCTCTCACAGAGAAAAACCTCGGACCTATTTAACTCCAATGGTGAATTCTACCAAATATATAAAGTTAAAATAATGCCAATTCTACATGAACTCTCCAGAAAATTGAAAAGGAGGAACTACTTCCCAACTCAGCTATGTGGCCAAGACCAGACAAACACATTACAAGAAAATAAAACTACAGACCAAAATCTCTCATGAACATAGAACAAAAAAATCGCATTTAATAACACAAAATTTCTAGTAAATTATCCTGTGTTCACAATCAGGCGACCTGGGACTCAGAGAAAATATTGCAATGTTTCATTGAGTCTTCTTCCAAGAGGTCATCTATGAAGACTTACTTTACAAAGGAAACATTCAGACAGAAATTTGGCCCTGTCCTCCAGAAGGAAGGACCCATAGACCCTAGGGACAGTGCTCCCAAGGGCAAAGAGCCTGTTCTCATTCCCAAGGCATCCTCTTGTTCTGAACGCAATTCCTTTATGATATTGTGGCTCTTGGTGTATCAGTGCTGGGCTGTGGGCCCAGTCACAGGGGTGAGACCCACCGTGGGCTCTTCACTTGTTAAGGCTCCTTGGCCTCTGAGATGTACCAGAGAGCAATCTAAACTACCCTATTTGGGTGTCAACAAGGATGGGGAAGGAAACATTTAAAAAAATGTTGGGAGTCCATGCCTAGGCCCTTGGTGGCCCTGGGTGTGGAGCTGGGGGTTGTGGCCATAGCCCCATGGCTTAGTGGTCATGTCTGCTCTTCCTCTGTGTTCAGGTGGATCGTTATGCCTTGCTGTCAACCTTGCAGCTGATGTACACCGTGGGATACTCCTTCTCTCTTATCTCCCTCTTCCTGGCTCTCACCCTCCTCTTGTTTCTTCGGTGAGTAGAACTTCTGCAGGCATGTGTTCGGGCAGGTATAGTAGCCCTCCTTCATCTACAGGGGATATGTTCTAAGAGTTCCAGTAGATGCCTGAAACCAGGGGTAGAACGAAACATAGTGTTCAAACCAGGGATAGAACCAACCCTATGTTTGGTTCTATCTCCATGTTTTTTCCTATACATACATACCTCTGATAAAGTTTAATTTATAAATTAGGCACAGTGAGAGATTAACAGCAATAACCAATATTGAAATAGAACAATTATAATGCTATACTATAATAAGAGTTATGTGAATGTGGCCTCTCTCTAAATATCATTACACTATGTTCACCCTTCTTTTTGTGATGATCAAGGAATGGAGCTGGTCAAGGTTAGATTTCATCACTTTACTCAGAACAGCACATAATTTAAAACTCATGAACTATTTATTTAATTATTTATTTCTGGAAGTTTTTCGTTTAATATTTTTGAGCCGCAGTGCACCATGATTGACTGCAGGTAACTAAAACAGTGGAAAACAAAAGTGTGGATAATGGGGGAACTATGGTATTGTGTAATTTGCTCATTGGCTACCTCTAGAAGGCACTGGAAGACTGGGCTGGATGTGTCATGAATCATCAAAGCTGGAAATGACCAGAGAGAGGCTAAGTCCAATCCATCCCATTTTGCAGAAGAAGGGGAAGAAAGGGATGGCAATGTCCCAATCAGAGGCATTGAGTCACCTCTGGCCATAAAGCCAGTTGGCTACACAGCTAGAATTTGAACCCAAGACTCCTGACAGCTTTACCTCCTTTGGATTAGACACCTGCTGTGCGCCCGGCCCTGGTGTAAATCCCTAATCACACCCATTACCACCACAGCCCATTCCCACTACAACTCAATCAGAGGCATTCTTTTTACAGAAGAGATTAAGAATCTTCCCCAAGGTAAACAAATGGATGGAAGAGCTGGGATTTCAATTCAGGGCCCTCAGATGTCAATTAGCTATCAAATTTAAGTGCTTACTCCTAAGCGCATTACATGCATTAAGTCGTTTAAATGTCATCCCTAATTCAAATTAGGATTCATTCTATTCCTGGGAGGTTAGCATTATTATTACCCCCACTTTAGACGTGAGTTAACTGAAATATAGAGAGATGAAGTAACTTGCCCAAGATCACCGGCTGGTGGGTGATGAAGCCAGGATCACAAACAAGCAGTCTAGGATCTGAGCACTTTCACTCCCTAAACTTTCAGTATTCCAAAGCCTGTGTGCCTTTTACTAAATCATGCTTTTAGAAATCAGGCAAGTGAGACATTTATGGACCCACTAGAAAGCTCTCCAAAGCTGTCTCTGGTCTCAGGAATGTAAGCGGATATAATGTGGCAGAATGAGCATTTGACATAGGTGTGGGAGACCTGGAAACCAGCTCCAGAGCACCTCTCCACCTGGGCTCTGCTAGCCCTGGGTTGGGCCTCATGTGACTCCTCAATCCTGAGATGTTCTGCAGCTCCTAGGGTAAAGTCATGACCATCTACCCCATTGGGAGAACCATGCTTGAGCTATGGGAGAACTCTGCAACTTGTACACACTGATTATCTGTGACCTCCTTCCTTCATGCCCTGTCCCAAAGTCCCAGGACCAAGCCAGGAGAAAATAACTGCCCAGCCCTGTAGGAAGTCACTTCGGCCAAGCCTGGGACAACCAAGTGTCAGTTCTGCCTAAGGCTTGGGGAAAAGTGAGGCCCAGTCGCTGCCCTCAAATAGCCCCCAGTCTAGTTAGAGAGAAGAATGTGTAAATCCTAAGACACAAGAACCTGCCTCAGGTCCTTTTAGAAACTAAAAATATAACAATAGCTTTAAAGCAATATAGGACAGGGTGTGTGCTACCCAGGGAGCACAGCTTTCCTCTGGTGACAGCAAGGATGCACAATGTCACATCACACACAAAGAGTCTGCAGGAGACCCCAGGTGCATAAGGAAGAGGTGATGAGAGCTAACATTTTTCTGGACACTTACTTATGTGCACAGATTAACGGATTTAATCATTCCACAACCCCTGGAGGTAAGTGCTCTTGTTCTCAGAGGCAGAAGAAACTGGGAGACCTATGCTTTGGCCTGAGAGTTTCTGTGTCTGAATCCCAACTCTGCGACTTACTGCTCTGGGACTTTGGACAGATGACTTCATCCTTCTGCTTTAATTCTTTCATTTATAAAATCAGGGTAATAATAATTCCTATACCTCCAGTGGTGGTAAGGAGTAAGAATACTCAAATGTAGCTGCATATGTAAATGATTTGGAACACGGCTGGCATGTTGAAGATGTTTTGTAGGTGATAGCTATTTTTTTTTTTTCTGAGGTGAAGTCTCGCTCTGTTGCCAGGCTGGCGTGCAGTGGCGTGATCTAGGCTCACTGCAACCTCCGACTCCCTGGTTCAAGCAATTCTTCTGCCTCAGCCTCCCAAGTAGCTGGGATTACAGGCACGCGCCACCACACCCAGCTAACTTTTGTATTATTAGTAGAGGTGGGGTTTCACCATGTTGGCCAGGGTGGTCTCGATCTCCTGACGTCATGATCCGCCTGTCTCGGCCTCCAAAGTGCTGGGATTACAGGTGTGAGCCACCGCGCCTGGCCGGTGATAACTATTATTACTCTCATTTTACAAATGACGAAACTGAGGCACAGAGATTTACGGTCACATAATCCAGCAGTCCAGCTCTGCAGCCTATACTATGACCCTCTGTCTTTAGTGATAGATACACAGGCATAAAAGGCAGAGGCCTGTTGGTTGGAGCCATTCTTTCCTGAGGGAAGGCATTTGGTTTTCTCCTCGCACAGAAAACTCCACTGCACGCGCAACTACATCCACATGAACTTGTTTGCTTCTTTCATCCTGAGAACCCTGGCTGTACTGGTGAAGGACGTCGTCTTCTACAACTCTTACTCCAAGAGGCCTGACAATGAGAATGGGTGGATGTCCTACCTGTCAGAGGTAATCCCCTTCCCCACTGTTTACACTGGACTCCCCACCTGATGGGTCAGTACTGGGAATCAGAAGGCAGGCAGGTGGGACTAGGGAGGGGCAGCGGGAGATAAGAGGGTTTCCAAGACTTTCTGGCTAGAGAAGTAGTACGTGACTTAACAAAACCACCACCTGCCAAGAGCAGGCCAGGTGAAAGAAACCAAAACAGAAGGGTTCACCATGGCTGCTGTATGTCCTTGGGTGGGAATTTCTTCATGTGCAAACAAAAGAATTGGACCAGATCAACGTATTTTACAATTATAGCTGGCCCTCTGTATCCGTGAGTTCTGCATTCATGAATTTAACCAACTGGGGATAGAAGATACCTGGGAATAAAAAGGGTGATTGCGTCTGACCTGAACATGTACAGACTTTTTTTTCCTTGTCATTATTCCCTAAACAATACAGTATAACAACTATTCACATAGCGTTTACATTGCATTAAGTATTACAAGCAATCTAGCGATGATTTAAAGTATATGAAAGGATGTGCATAGGTTATAGGCAAATATTCCACCATTTTATAGAAGGGACTTGAGCATCTGTGGATTTTGGTATCCACAGGGGGTCCTAGAAACAATCCCCCAAGGATACTGAGGGACAATTGTACTATTTTCTTGAAGCAGCAATGCTTTTTCACATTGAAATCTGCATCTATTGAGATAGTTTTTCCTTTATCCTGCTAATGACGCAGTAACCTATTAAACTAACCTTGCATTCCTGGAATAAATCCAACTAGGTTTTGACATATTATTTTCTTTCTCCTAAGTTGCTGTCTTTAGTTCGCTAATACTGTGTTTTGTTGAGTATTTCCTTGTTGCCATTCATGAGAAAGATTGGCTTGTAATGCCTTTGTCAGGTTGGGGATCAAATTTGTGCTAGCCTCGTAAAACAAATTAGAGCTGGTTTCCTCTTTCACTATTCTCTGGAAGAATGTATTAAAGATAAGTATTATTTCTTCCTTAAATGTTTGATAGATTGTGCCAATTAAGCATTTTGGACCCAGAGGTTTCTTTATTGGTAAGTTTTAAACTATGGATTAATTACGAATCTAATATCCAGATTCTATTTCTTCTGTCAGCTATAGCAAATGAGTTTTTCTAGGAATTCATCTATTTCATCTAACTGTTCGAATTTATTGGCATAATATTGTTCATGATATTCTCTTTGGATCTTTTTCAAGTCCATTGGATCTGTAAGAGTGTTCTCATTTTCATTCCTGATATTGATTATTTGTATCTTTGCTCTTTTTTCTACCCTTTGATCATGTTGGCAACAAGTTTCTCAACTTTATTGGACTTTTCAAAGAATAAACTTTTGGCATTGTTGATTATCTTTATCTCATGTTCTCTATTTCATTAACTTCTGCTTTTATTATTTCCTCCCATGTACTTTCTTTGGGCTTAATTTGCTATTCTTTTTCTAACTTTTTTTTACATGATCCTTAAAATAATTGATATTCAGCATTTTTCTTTTTTAAAAAATGCACTTAAGGCTATACGTTTTATTATATAAGGTTTGGTATTAACCGTATGTTGTAAGTTCATGCAATATTTTCTTTACATTCAGTTAAGAAATAATTTCTAATTTGTTTCAATTTTTTCTTTGATCCATGGATTGCTTAGAAGTCTATTTTCTAATTTCCAATCATATGAACATTTTTTAGTTATTGATTTTAGCTTAATTGAACTGAGGTTAGAGTACTCTTCAGTGTTTCCATTAGGGCAGTTGCTGATGGTGAATTTTCTACATTTTTGTTTGTCTAAAAATGTCTAGAATGTTAAGGAGGAGGCTGGCCTTGAACACCTACCTGAAGCCCTCCTTCCTTCATATTTTGATATTATTGCCAACCTCCCTGAGATGGTCAGCAAAGGTCTGGGAGAGAACAGAGTAAAGAGGGAGGGGGCCGGGCACGGTGGCTAACACCTGCAATCCCAGCACTTTGGGAGGCCAGGGCGGGTGGATCACGAGGTCAGGAGATCGAGACCATCCTGGCCAACATGGTGAAACCCTGTGTCTACTAAAAAAAAATATATATATATATATACATACATATACAAAAATTAGCTAGGTGTGGTGGCACTTGCCTGTAATCCTAGCTACTCGGGGGGCTGACGCAGGAGAATCACTTGAACCAGGGAGCTGGAGGTTGCAGTGTGAGCTGAGATTGCACCTCTGCACTCCATCCTGGCAACAGAGTGAGATTCTGTCTCAAAAAAAAAAAAAAAAAAAAAAAAAAAGAGGGAGAGGTTGTCTCTGGGAGGCCCTTCTCCCCCGACTCGGGATCAGATGCAGGGGAGCCTGGACTCACCCTCAGGTGTTTTTTCCTCTGCAGATGTCCACCTCCTGCCGCTCAGTCCAGGTTCTCTTGCATTACTTTGTGGGTGCCAATTACTTATGGCTGCTGGTTGAAGGCCTCTACCTCCACACGCTGCTGGAGCCCACAGTGCTTCCTGAGAGGCGGCTGTGGCCCAGATACCTGCTGTTGGGTTGGGGTGAGTGACCTGACCTTCAGCTTCCTTTCCTGGGGATCCATCAAAATATGGGAGCCTGATAGAGACTTTAGTTGGACTTAGAAACCTAACTGGAGGTTGCTTCTGGGACATATAAGTCCTCAAAGACAGGGAGCTTTGAAGAGGGGTATGTGTGTGCACACAAATGCACACATATGCACAGGGGCCATAGGCCCAACAGCCCAATGGACACATTCAAAAATTGAGAAAGTCTTTGGTGGAATCTGATGATATTCCTCCTACCCTGTCCCCAACTGTATTAGTCTGCTTGGAATGTCAAAACAAAATACCTGTGTAGTTTAAATAACAGACATTGATTTCCTATGGTTCTGGAGGGTGGGAAGTTCACCATGGTTGGGTTCTGGTGAGGGCTCTTTTCCTGGCTTGCAGTCAGCTGCCTTCTTCCTGTATTCTCACATGGTGAGGAGAGTGAGAAAGCAAGCTCTCTCGTCTCTTTTTAAAAGGGCACTAATCCTGTCATGAGGACCCCACCCTCATGATCTCAGCTAAACCTAAGTAAGTACTACCAAAGGCTCTGTCTCCAAATACCATCACTGGGGTAGGGCTTCAACATCTGACTTTTGAGAGGACACCTACATTTAGTCCATAATACCAGGTCTTCAAGAAGAGTTTTCTGATTAAAAAAATATGACCAAGAGTATCTAGATTTGGACCCCCTACCTCCACAAACCCTTTGGAGAATTTGGTGCTACAGGATTCAGAGGAAATAACCTGGGCCAGTAATTCAGGAGATTCGGGTTAATATCCTTGGATTTATTCTCAGCTGCTTTGTGACAAGTATCCAGTCGCTTTCCCCCTCTGGGCCCTGGTTTCTTGGGTGGTAAAACAATGGATGGGCCATGTGCCACCCTGGGTCTCTCCAGCTCTCACAGTCCACAACTCCATGATGTTAGGTTTGATGTTGTAACCACCTGTGGTTAGCCTCATCCGCTGTGGTGGGAGGCAAGCAGGTTTGGCCAACCAACTCCTAACTACATTTCCCTGTGTTTTCTCCCCAGCCTTCCCTGTGCTATTTGTTGTACCCTGGGGTTTCGCCCGTGCACACCTGGAGAACACAGGGTAGGTAATTCACCAGGTGTTATTCTTTCACGAGCCGGTAATTCCCAGGCATGCCTAAATACAAAGAATGACATCATTTTACCGTAGAAAATATCTATCCCTTCTCATTTTGGCCATCTAGAATATTCTTAGGAATGGGAGATAAAATAATCAGAGATCTTATAGCAATTAGTTTATTAATTTAGTTACACATGCAAATTAGCTCAAAGATGCTGTATAGGTTAGCTGCAGCCCTGGGTACGTAAGGACAAAAATACAAGAGTGGTTACTGCAGTATTGTTCATAGTGAGAAAAAAAATTAACAAAACTAAACAAACAAAAAACCACTGAATGCTCATCAATATGGGAATCATTGAACAAACTGTAATATACCTATATTGCAGAATATTATGAAACTACTTAAAGAAAAGCAAGTTCGTTATTATGGGAACTTTTAGGCACTGATTCTCAACAGCCTGTTTTAAGCCTATTGCTGAAACGTATATTGTGTGATCCCATTTTTTTCCTCCAAATAGCACACACAAAAAACTACATAATTAGGAATTTATGTTTGTATGAACATGGAGGAAAATTTTGGAAAGATATACACACTAGGCTGTTACCACTGAAGAGCAATTTAATGGTAAGGAAAGTAAACTGTACCAGTACTAACAGGAAGGGATTTGGGTTCTCTCTTCTGCCTCTCCCACCCCTCAGGGGACTGATTGGTGGGAAGTAGGGCTTGAGTGCAAGCATCCTTCTTCCAGAGAGCATGAGGCTTTGACTTTCAACCTCCTCTTGTTTTTAAGTCTTCTACTGCCTGCTTCTACTGTTGACCTTAGGTGCTGGACAACAAATGGGAATAAGAAAATCTGGTGGATCATCCGAGGACCCATGATGCTCTGTGTAACAGTAAGGACCATCCCATCCACCTCTTTGTCTCGGAGCCTAGCAGCTGTGGGGAATCCCCCCGCCCCACCCGACTTCTGTCCCCCAGGTTCTCTGATCCCTTGAGAGAGAGAAGCTGAACTATGAGCATTTTCTGCTGAATGAGAAGTTAGAAGTTTCTTGCTCTGGTTCAGGACCTCAATTTGGAGTTACATTGTAAGCCTCCTTCTCTCTGGGTCTTCAAACTGTGTAAAGAGACCTGCAGTCAGCTCTGTGCTCCTGTATTGAAGGGCTGAGATGTGTGCAAGGCCCTGAGGATACCAATGCCTTTAGTCATGGAGGAACCCAGAATAGCAGGGGTATCGGCTTATATCCTAACACCATCCACAGGAGGGAGGAAGAGACTAAGGGAACTTCTTTTAGAGGAAGAAAACACACAATTAATATTAACCCAAAATTGTGATGCAGCTTAGAATCAAGACATAGATGCTACTCTGAGACCTTAGGGAGGAAGGACCTTTAATCATTGTGGTCCAGAATATTTGGAATGGAAAGGGATGGCCAATCCAGAGTCAAAAATTCCTTTAGATAATAGGGTGTGAGAATGAGAACTGTCAAAGAAGCTAGCAGGAAGGGGCAGAAAGTTAGCAAACACTGGGAAGGGTTAGCAAGATCCCAGAGGGAGGCGGAAAGTATTCCTGCCTAGACACACCACCATAATCTTCGCGTGCCCACCAGGTGCTGAACACTACGTGTTGTTCTCTGCCCACCCTGTTCCCCAAGGGGTTGCTGGATGATCTGTTTTTGCCATTTTATATAAATAATCTGGCATTTGTGGTACCATCAAAGAAAAAGGCTAGTTTTTATAGGGGAGTTTCAATATTTGTCAATAATAGAAGGCAACTCTCTGTTTAGACCTGGGTGTGACCTGGAGGGAAAAATGGTCCTAGAAGTGGTGGGAAAACCGAGAGTGTGGACAGGCCTGTGTCATCTCTGGTCTATGAGGTGGCACGTATGCTGCGGTATCTTCCCTCCTGTCACTGGACCTGCAGCTGATAGTGTGCCAGATGAGGTCTGGGCACACACACCCCACACATGGTGTGCTTAGCCCTGCCACATCCTCCTGCCCTCCACAGTCCTCTCTCCAGCCACACTGCCCAGCTGGGGTCCTGTCTGGACAATTCCACCAACGTCCCAGAAACATTTATTAAGCACTTCTGCATACCAGCTCCATTTGTAAGTGCTTTGTGTATGAGTGTATGAACTCATTTAATCTTCCCAACCAACCTGTGAAGATATGCCATTCTTAGGTTTATTTTACTGGTGAGCACACTGAGATGAGAAATTACTTGCCTAAAATCATAGAGCCAGTCAATGGAAACTGGATCTCAGCCCAAAGGGTGTGATGGGATGACAGCTGGCACTTTTAACCGTAGCACTGTGCAGCTCAAAAACTATTTACTGCCTCCAGCCCCCACGCCTGCCATACTGAATGCTGCAGGCTCTTTTGCACCTTAGTACCTTGGTTCAGACTCTCCTCTGGCTCCAACTCCTTCCCTCGCCATCTTTTCCACCTGGTGATCTGTTCCTCATCTTTCAAGTCTTGGGTCAGGCATCATTCTCTCTGTGCTGCTCTACCTGGATGCTCACCTCACGAAGTGAAAATGGCCACACTCTCCTTTGTTCCTTCCCAGATCCTGTGCAGGCTTCTGCTCCAGCCCTAGCCAACACCATTTCAAGTATCTCTTTAAAACCCATTTTCTGCCACTGTAAGCCCCATGTTCTGATCATCCTGGCAGCCAGCCCAAGCATATGGTGGGTTCTTGATAAACATATTCAGTGCACACTCATGGCCTACATTCTGGACCCTGAAAGGTTCTTGCTAACCAGGTAGAACAAAGTAGAATGGAGGCCAGCAGCCATCCCTAGGATAGCGTTGAGGCATGGTCCAGCTGGATCCCTAGTGTTTACTTGCAGTCTTCTAGGAGCTACACCAATGGTTCTCAAACTGGGTTGCTCTTGGAATCCCCTGGGTGTCTTTAAAAATTCTTTTTGCCTGAGTCCCACCCCCAGACATTTATGTTTCATTGATCTCAGGAGGGGCCTGAGTTGAAAAGCATGTTGCTACAACCTTGCTTTTCAAAGGATGGTCCTCAGACCGGGTAGCACCAGCATCGCCTGAGCGCTTGTTATAAATTCAGGTTCTCCAGCCCCATCTCCCAGGCCTACTGAATCCGAGTCTGCATTGGAACAAGCTCCCCAGGTTTTGGATGAACATTAAAGTTTGTGAACCTCTTTGTCTACTCCTGGAGTTCTCAAAACTGGTTGTATGTTAGAAACATCATGGCGGCTTATACCCCAGACCTATGACATTAGAAATTCTGGGAGTGGGGCCTAGGCACTGTAGTTTTTTCTGTTTTTTTGTTTGTTTGTTTGTTTGTTTGTTTGTTTTGTTTTTTGTTTTTTGTTTTTTTGAGACGGAGTCTTGCTTTGTCACCCAGGCTGGAATGCAGCAGTGCAATCTTGACTCACTGCAACCTCTGCTTCCTGGGTTCAAGCGATTCTTGTGCCTCAGCCTCCCTAGTAGTTGGGACTACAGGCTTCCACCACCACACCCGGCTAATTTTTGTATTTTTAGTAGAGATGGGGTTTCACCATGTTGGTCAGGCTGGTCTCGAACTCCTGACCTCAAGCAATCTACCCACCTCGGCCTCCCAGACTGCTGGGATTTCAGGCATGAGCCACCGTGTCTGGCCCCACTGTAGTTTTAAAACCCCTGAAATGATCCTAGTGGCTAGAACTACTGCTTTGGGCCTTGCTGCTTTGGCCTTCTATGGCTGGCTGACCCGCATTCTAGTTTCCCTTGGTGCTTCCTAGTTGGGACAAGAGAACATGCTCTATCTTCTCACTTTGGATAAAATGACCTTTACATGCTGTTGCTTCTGTGACTCCAGTCATGGTCAGCTCTACTGAAATGGCCACTCTCACCTTAGCTTGTGGTGGACTCCTCATCTTCCCATTCAGACCTCTCCTTCTCCTACTCACTCTACCCAGAAAATGGCTCCACCACCCACCCACCCAGGCACCCAAGCTGGAAAGCTTGGTGTTCTCCTAACTTCTGTCCTCTTCCTCCCTGCAACGTCTATTCAGACTTCAAGTCCTGTCAATTCTTCTTCTAAAGATCTCTCCAAGCCATTTCCTTCTCCTTAATCCCTTGGTCTCTGCTCTTCTTTAGCCCCTTGTGATTTTGTGTGTGTGTGTGTGTGTGTGCAGACCTCTGCAAACACCTCCTTTTTGGTCTCTCTTCTTCATTCTTGCCCCTGACAATCCATCCTCTTGTTGCAGCCCAAGTGATCTTTTTGGAGTAAAATTTGATTATGTCTCTGTTCTACTTGACTGTTTAATGGGTCACTATTTCCCTCAGATCTGGTTCTAAACTCCTTAGAGTCATTCCCTCTCTACTCACCTAACCAGAATTGCCCGATGCTCTACTCGTATGGATACATTTAAAGTTCTCCAATTCCACCATGGTGTTTCCCTCCTCCCATGCACACATAAGCCTCAAGTGCCTGTTGGATGGCCCCAGGTCTGCCTGATAAATTCTCTTTCTCCTTGGAAACTGAGTCCTTTATTAATCTCTCTATCCCCTACCCTCCACCCCCCTGCAATTAAAATAAGTCAACAGGCATGCCTAGAAGGGAATATTTCACAATCACCCTCAGCTCTTAGAGAGGACATTGCTTAACTATTGTTGTCTGTGTCTACAGGCACTTGGACTAGAGGAAACGGGCTTGAAGAGAAATGGGAGCATTCCCTTTGGTCACAAGGAAGACATTTAACCATGAACTTGTAAAACACTGACATATACCCCAGAGAAAGGCATTAGATCTTCATGTCTATCAGTTTACAAGAAGATAATCTGTCCTGAACAATAAGGAGCTAAACCTGCTGCCCTCCCAATCTGCACAGCTCTAGGATTCTAGGACTCTGTGCATTGGTTCTAGGGCTCCCCAGAGAGTGGAATTTATGTGTCCCACCAGACATGGAAGGGAAAAGAAAGGCCATGCAGAAAGAAGTGAAAGAGGCAGGCTAGGAGTCAGGAGCCTGGGCTCTATGACTGACTTGTGATGTGTCCTTCAGCCAGGTGAGTTGGCCTCTCTGGGCCTCTGTTTCTTCATCTATGAAATCAGTCTTGAACTAGACCAGTGGTTTTCAACCAGAGGAGATTCTGACCCCTGGGGACATTTGGCTGTGTCTGGAGACATTTTTAATTGTCATAAATTGGGGATGGGGATAGGAGGAGAATGTTGCTACTGGCATCTAGTGGGTGGAGGTCAGGGATGCTGCTCAACACCCTACAACACACAGAACCACCCCCAGAATAAATAATTATCCTGCCCCAAATATTAAGAGTGCCAACATTGAAAAACCCTGGACTAGACAGTAGCTGCACATTAAAACAACCTGGGGAGGATTAAAAAAATACCCAGCCCAGACTTACCCAGACTGATGGAATCAAATCTCCTGCCATGTAGAGCTTCCTTAGCACTGGAATCTCATTCAGCCACTCTCTTGTATCTTCCTTTAGCATTCATTGAGCACCTTCACTGGGCTTGGCTTGGTGCTAGGTTATTTCAGAGTTTCTATCCTCAGGGAATTCAGAATTTAATAGTTATCATTCTGAGACTCATCAGACTATGACTGAACCAATATCTGCCTTCATTTTTGGTCATATGACCACATGTTGCAATTTTCCACTGATCTGAATAGACATAACCCCAACTCTAAAAGAGAATTCCTTAAACCACAACGTGGAAGGAACCTGGATTCCTGAATGACTGTATGGAGCAGAACTCCCTCCACTGCACTAGACTGTGACATAACCAATAAAATAAAATAAGATAAAATAAATCTTTATTGTGTTAAGAAAAAAATAATAATTCTTTGGCCCCCACATATGTTCTACTTAAACTGAAGTAAGAAAGAGTAACAATAATCAAGACTGAGCTAGTAGCACTTGGCATTTCTAGGTACTTAACAATTTTCTTTCAACTTGGTCAAATTTGAGCCTGGGCCCAATTTTGGGGAACATGGATCAGAGGCTTCTGAGGAAAAGCCAACTGTGCATGGTGAACCAAGCACTGGGACCAAGGAGAGTGTCCCATCCCAGGTTCCGGCTCCCTGGTGAATATCCCTAGTTATCACAGTTGGATCTCTCCCACCATCCCCTAGACTGGGTCTGCATTTGCTGACCAGCATCTGGGTTGATGCGAGTGTACAACATGCTGGAAATCCAGATGCGTCAGCAAACTTCATTTACTGCTTTGTTGGTACAAGGTTGCCTGTGTTTCAGAAATGACCATAATGTGGCAACCTGAAGAATCCAGATGCCCTTTGGGTCTCTTGCCAGGCAGAAATTGTAGAATTCCCACCTCTTTCTTTGTATAAGACTTCACTACTTCACCTGTCATCTGAAATGTACATTTAGAGTTGAATCATCTCGGAAACTGGCATATTCTTACAGCCTAGTCTCCCCAGCCCTCAGTAGAATATTGGTAAAGTCTTGATTAGTCCTGCTCAAGGACAGCCTTAGACAATAATTACATCATGCAAGGTCATTCTATCCATACCCTGCACCCTGCAGTTAACAGACCCGGTGAAATGGCTGTTTTGAGCTAACAAATTGAATGAACCATCTGTTGACTTTATGAAATCATAAAGTCAAAAGCCTGCATTTGCTATTGTTGAATCTTCCGTGATAGCCTCAGAACTTGGCAAAGTTGATGCACTGGTAAAATTTGTCTTCACTGGCCTTGTCCCTCTTTAGGTCCTCTGCCCCACCAGGAACCCAGGGGCTTTCTGTGGCTTCAGGCTTCCCAAGACATTTCCTCACTCCTGTGCTCTCCTCTTCTAAAGACTTAAAGTGTGACTCTCCCTGTACTCTGGGTTTTCCCACCCCATCAAAACTTAGCTTTGCTACACCCCATCTTCTGCTTTAAATGGTGATAATAAGCCAGAGCCTAGGTAACTTACTGAAGTCTTCATTGTTGCAAAAATGAATGAATGAATGAAAGGAGAAAGGGCTTCCTTCCTCCTCTCCCAGTGATTCCTTAGCTTCAGTGGGTTGTGTGCCTTTCAGCAGGGCTCTTGGGGAAAGAGTGTTTTGACTCACAAGAGTAGCTCTACAGGATTAGCATTTTAGTCCACACAGCAGGCCAGAGGAGGAGGGGTTTGGCGGTAGATGGAAGAGTTTAGGGGTAGATGAGGCCTACCCCTGAGCTCCCGCTATACCGGCAATCACCTCTGCCAACTTGTAGGCCCAGATCTGTGCACAGAAGCTGGGGTAACAAGAAAGTGTCACCAAGAATGTCACATCTGAGAATGCATCTGGGATAGATCCTTATATATTTGGGGTCCTTAGCACCCACCCCCATCTGGTCACAAAATCCTGGAGGAGTTGGCTGGGTTCTTGGAAAATGTCCTCACTCAGCCCCTTTCCTGCTTGTGTGAAAATGAAGAACAGCACCATCCAAAAGTACCTGCTGACTCTTGTCTTCTTGGAAGCCCAGATGAGCAGAGGCTTCATGGTACCCCCAGCTAGGGTTTCATCCTGTGGCAGTGAGGAAGTGCCTCCTTCGTACGTTCTATGGGTTGATGCCCATTTTCTCATGTCTGGTCTCTGGAAGACACAGAGAACAGTGAATCAACATGCTTCCCATTATAACCTTTCATTGCCTAGGAGACAGTCCTGATTGAAATTAATTTGCTGAAATAAATGCCTTTCTGCTGTTAAGCTTGCTTTGTAAGAAAAATGCCTATGTTCAATAAATCACTAAGCCAAGGACACAACGTTTTCTCTTTATGATGAGAGGCAGATATCCCATTAAAAGAAATACATTACTTGATTACATTTACCTTGTATTTAAACTTTCTGTTCCTAAATATTCTTTGGCTAGGAACCTCCATCATTCCTGCTGGCTTCAGGCCCTCACATCCAGTCAATAACAAAGATCATTTGACTCATACTTCTTCATCATTTCAAATTGATCCCTTCCTCTCCATCATGGAAGCACCAGAACTGCTGCTGATTTCTTTTCTCCATCACCGTCCCCCAGGAACTCTGAAACTACTTCCCAACTGATCTCCCCTCCTCCAGCCTTACCCTCACCCAATCCATTCTCCACACTGCTGCTGAAATTATCTTTCTGAAATGCAGAAGTACAAATCTGATCAGGTCACTTGCGTGCTTAAAATCTATCACTGGCTCTTCATTGCTTTCAGAAGAAAACCCAAACTCCTTACCTACCACGGCTGTGAAAGACCCTGCAGAAACGGACCCCCCTCTCCTGCCCAGTCTCACTTCTCACAAACCCTGTTCTCATTCTCCAAGCTCTACCCAAACCCAGCCACCTGCTTTTCACCACTTCCAGGGGGCTCTTGATCTCTCCCGAGGCTGCAGCCAAGACGGCAGCCAGGGCCGCAGCCATCTGAAGGCTTGGCTGGGGCTGGAGGATCAGCTCCCAAGGTGGCGCACACACGTAGCTGGTGGTGGGTGGTGCTGGTTTTGGGCCTGAGAACTCAGTTACCCCACGTGGATCTCCCAACAGGCTGCTTGAGTGTCTTCACAAAATGGTGGCTGACTTCCCCTGGAGTGAGAAACCTAAGAGAGAGAGAGAGAGAAAGAGAGAGCTGGGTGGAAGCCAGCCATCCTTTTGAGGACCTAGCCCAGAAGTCACATAGCACCACTTCTATGACACCATATTCTTTTCGTTAAGTGCAAGTAACTAAATCTAGCTCACCTCACAAGGGGAATAAGGGGGATTAGCCTCCACTTTTGAAGGCAGAAGGGCCAAGGAATTTGCAGGCATATTTTTAAATTTCTTTAAAGGCTGACAATGGAGGGCTGGATTTTCCCAGTCCATGACAGTCGTGGAATGTATTCTAGGGAGTAGAGAGCATATTCTGTCTATGAATTCCATAGCAGCAACAGGATCTCAAGTTAGACACCAATAGGGATGGAGTTCTTTACAGAAGAGAGGCAGAATAGCGTTCTGTTTAAGTGAAGGGAGGGTTATAATCCCATGAATCTGGGTTTAATTACAGGCTTAATCACTGACTAGCCATGCAACCTGGGAATTACACTTACTTCTCTGTGCCTGTTTTCTCATTGTTTTATGAGGATAAAAATAGTTGTGGCTACCTTAAGGGGATGTTGTAAAAACTAGATACAAGAATGCCTGGACCATTCTTAGCCCAAAGCCTGACATGGTGCTAAGTACTAAGTGATAAGTACTCAATACGTGGTAGTTAATAATAATAACAATAATAGTAATAATAATAATGTGAACGTCCACCTGCCTTTCTAGATGGCCTTAATGATGGGCCTCCTTAAGGCAGAATAATAAACTAAATCACTTTCTGAAATTCCTTCCAGACTTTCAGTTCAGATGACCTTTGGGACTTTGGAGATTCAGATGGCCTTTGGGACAGTGGAGATTCAGATGGCCTTTAGGACAGTGGAGATCACAGCTAAGCATTTACTACCTGGCCAGCTAACTGCTGAATTGCCCCTGGTTTACATTGAACTGATGGAACTGATGGCCGAGCCCAGCCTGACCTTGAAGTTCACAGCTATGTGGAATTCGTCACTTACTTACCCAATTCTGCTCTTTTTTTCAAGGTCAATTTCTTCATCTTCCTGAAAATTCTCAAGCTTCTCATTTCTAAGCTCAAAGCTCATCAAATGTGCTTCAGAGATTATAAATACAGGTGAGTGGCTTAAGGTTGGTCCCCAGCAGTCCAAGGTTATTGTAAGTACTCTGGCTGTTCTGCCCGCTGTCTTGGGAAGGACATTTATCTCCTAAGGCCAGGGTATCAGAAAGAGCAGTTCTGGGAAGGTGCTATAGGATCAAGTGAGGCTTTTGTCAATGGTGAGGACCTTCTATGACGATGAAGCAAATGGTGAGTAGTCAAGGGCATTCACATCCCCCAGCAGAAAACTGTTAAAATGCCCCTAAGAGGGCAGGAGTGATGTCTCAGACCTGTAATCCCAGGACTTTGGGAGGCTGGGACAAGAGGATTACTTGAGGCCATGAGTTTGAGAACAGCCTGGACAACATGGTGAAACCCCGTTTCTACCAAAAATACAAAAGTTAGCCAGGCGTGGTGCATGCCTGTAGTCCCAGGCTAAGGTGAGGGGCTTGCTTGAGCCCAGAAGGTCGAGGCTGCAGTGAGCCATGATTGTGCCACTGCACTCCAGCCTGGGTGACCCTGTCTCAAAAAAAAAAAAAAAAAAGTTTCTAAGAATGGGTGGTTGTGGGAAAAGGACAGTCTTGTTTGAAGAGAAGTTTGGCAGTTGCCTTCCTTGGGGAAGGATTTGAAGAGAAGAGATTATTTGGGTGTTTTTGAGACCTTGAGAAATGAGACCACAAACTTTTAGGGTCTAAGGAAAGACATCCTTCCACAGGCATCCTTTAATTGTGACTTGTTGTCGCTGCATCTCACCTTCCTCTTTCTGAGATGACAGCAGTCCTCATTCATAGTCAGTCAGATCATAGGTATTTATTAGATCTGCATTGTTGTAAAAGCAAATGAATGAATGAAGAGAGATAAAGGGTTTCCTCCCTCTTTTCCTAGTTATTCTTTACTTTCTTTCTTTTTTTTTTTTTTTTTTTTTTGACAGAGTCTTGCTCTTGTCGCCCAGGCTGGAGTGCAATGGCATGATCTCAGCTCGCTGCAACCTCCACCTCCCAGATTCAAGCCATTCTCCTGCCTCAGCCTCCTGAGTAGCTGGGATTACAGGCACCTGCCACCACGTCCGGCTAATTTTTGTATTTTTAGTAGAGACAGAGTTTCACCATGTTGGCCAGGCTGATCTCAAACTCCTGACCTCATGATCCACTAGCCTTGGCCTCCCAAAGTGCTGGGATTACAGGCGTGAGCCACCACACGTGGCCTATTCTTTGCTTTCTATGTGGCATATGCATTCAGCAGGGCTCTGGAACGGGAGTGTTTTAACCCACAGAGTAGCTCTAAGAGTAGGAATTTCAGTCCACACAGGAAGGCAGAAGAGGTGGGCACGAGTGAAGATGGCCCTAGCCCTGTTTCTCTCCCCTTTATAAGGCCTCACCCAGGTGCTGGGAAGGGAGTTTTTCCTTTTATCTGACAAATATTTAATAGATGCCTACAATGTGCCTGGTACTGTGCTTGGAATAAAAGGTGGACATGAGGCCAGGTTCGGTGACTCACGCCTGTAATCCCAGTACTTTGGGAGGCCAAGGTGGGCATATCACCTGAGGTCAGGAGTTCAAGACTAGCCTGGCCAACATGGCAAAACCCTGTCTCTACTAAAAATACAAAAATTAGCTGGGTGTGGTGGTGTGTGCCTGTAATCCCAGCTACTCAGGAGGCTGAGGCAGGAGAATCACTTGAATTCGGGAGGCGGAGGTTGCAGTAAGCCGAGATCGTGCCATTGTACTCCGGCCTGGGTGACAAGAGCAAAACTCCATCTCAAAAACAAACAAACAAAAAACGGTGTACACGATGTAGACCCTGCATTTGAGGAGCATGCATTCTACTTTGCTAAGGACTAGGATGTTGGCATGGAGCAGGAGGTGGAACGGAGGGAGCTGGCCACGACCCTAGACTTGCCTACTGGCCTTAGGCAAGTGCCTTGGCCCCTTTGGCCTGCTTTCTGGTGTGTAAAAATGGGAGTGTCACTGCAGACTCATCTCCTGCTTATTATGAGGATTCAAGGAGTCTGTAGATATGGTTATAAATATGGGTGGCCACTCTACCCTCCCTCTAGGAGGTCTAGAAGGGTAAACATACCCGGTTCAATAATGGGCAGACATACTATAGTTGCTAGTTGGAGCTTTGGTCCAAACATTTTGCAAGAAACCCGTAGCCCTGGGGAGCCGGCCTGGCCTGGGCTCCAGGGAGCCACGCTGTCTCTCTTGGCGCCTCCAGTCGAGGCTCCAAGTGGCCAAGCAGTCTCTCTGGCTCCCTTCCCAAAGGCTTAGCCTCTCTCACCACTCTTTCAGGGTGGAGCTTCAAAGCCTGCTCTAGTCCACCCTGCTGGGTGCACTCAGGGAGGAGAGTTCTCTCAATAAACAGGTGCCAGGAAAACCAGGGTGCCCCAGAAAGTGGACAGAGGCTAGTGTTTCCAGGAGACAGAAATGGTGCAGTTGACCCCAAAGGGACTCAGAGCTGACACACTGCTGCTTTGTGCCCCCAAAGCCTATCACGGGCCACTGGCACCTTCGCCATGCCCAAGACCCACAGCAACCCCTAAATAGTTTTTCATCATAGCTCCTCATCAGCATCCCCGGACAGCTGGCCAGAAGTGCAGCCTTGTGAGCCCTACCACTGGGTATTCTGACTCCATAAATGCGGGATAGAACCTCACAGAGCAGCCGTGTCCAACCCTTTGAATGGAAGGACATTTTTGCTTATCCGTTGTGGTGGATATCACAAAAACTATGCATGGACTTTTTTTTTTTTTTTTTTTTTTTAGCTCATCAGCTATTGTTAGTGTTAGTTTATTTTACATGGGGCCCAGGACAACTCTTCTTCTTCCAACGGGGCTCAGGGAAGCCAAAAGGTTGGATACCCCTGCTGCAGAGTCTCCCAGGAGATTCTGATACACAGCCAGTGTGGAGGACTGCTGGGCCAGATGTTCTATTGAAAGAACACATGCTAATGAATAAGCATTAGTTAATCAACTCTATTGCACTCTGCAGAAAGAACTAGTAAACAGAAAGGTGGCCAACGAAAATGGCAGGGAAACCACAGAGGGAGGACGTTCTCAGTGGAATATTCTGGTCGGGCCATTATAAATGTCATGCAGCCTCAATGTTCTCTTTTCCAGAGTCCCCTCTAGAGTTTTCAGACTTTTCTGATCACACATCTCTGTCAGTAAAGAAATTCTGAGCACATCCCTCCTCATGTATATGCATGGTATCATGAGCTAATATATGTATTATAAGATAGACCAAAAAATAGAAAATTTAAGAGGACAGATAAAAATTAATATATATACAATGCCTATTATCCTCTATTATAATATTTTCTTCCAATATCAAATAGATTGCCCGGCATAGCCCTGGAGGGTGCGTACCCACCAGGAGCCATTGGTCTAGGAAAGGGTAAATCAAGATACTGGGGAGACCCTCATGGCTGAGCGATGATCCAGGGTGACTGCTTTGTGGGGAGAAAGAGCAACCCTGCCTGACATATGCAGTCTGTCTGGAAATTCCTTTTTTCCTCTCCCCTGCCCTTGTTCAAAGAAAAAGCTTAAGAAGAAGAACTTGGGGCTGGGTGCAGTGGTTCATGCCTGCAATCCTAGCACTTTGGGAGCCTAAGGGGAAGGGATCACATGAGGCTAGGAGTTCTAGACCAGCCTGAGCCAGAGTGAGACCCTTTTTCTTTAATAATAATAATAATAAAAGAGGTACCTTGGTGTGTGTCTACCCAAAGTCCTCCTAGGGTGAGATGCCTCACCTTGGTGAGTTTGCCACCACCTGGGTATAGTACAGGGAACCCATCTATATTCTTGAGTGGCTGAGACTTTGGGAGGCTGACTGACCCCAGCTGAGCTCACAATATATATAAACTAGAACACTGTTCATTTTTAACGTCTGTGGAAGGTGGGGATGGGGTAGAGCATTCCTTTCTTGTGCCCACATGCCTCCCAAAATTTCCTAATCCGCAACACCAGAAGATCCAGGAATCCAAAGAACGTTACTGGTGATCACATCACAAAGCAGAGTCTTGCTGTTGAAGGATGCTGAGGTTAGCCTGAAAAATCACTATCTGCCCACAGCACCACCTACCTGTTGGGAAGGAGGCTCATTCCCCAGATCCAGTGTGCCCTCCACAGACTAGGGTGAGATAGGCACTGAGAACGTCCTCCCTCTGTGGTTTCCCTGCCATTTTCATTGGCCACCATTCTGTTTACTTGTTCTTTGTGTAGAGTGCAATAGAGTTGATTAGCTAATGCTTATTCATTAGCAAAAAGGCAGGGACCTATCTCTCAGGACACACCTAAACCACCTTATTTAACTCCCTGCGCTGGTAAATCCTACAGCATCTATGAACTCACTTGCCCATTGTGCTCTTAGAAAGCCTCGCTAATTCTCTCACTTTCAAGTTCTGAGAGAGTGCTCTTTACTATAACCCCAGCAGGGCATTGGCACCCCTCAGCTCCTCAGCTCACAGTGCCCTCTTCCATGTCGGAAAGTTGTTC
Organism: Homo sapiens; assembly: GCF_000001405.40. NCBI lineage: Eukaryota > Metazoa > Chordata > Mammalia > Primates > Hominidae > Homo > Homo sapiens. The sequence continues at coordinate 9,875,313 of NC_000017.11, forward strand.
CTCTTCCTCATCCCCTTCCATGTTTGTTTTCCCTTAAAGACTTCTGATGGGATAAGAAGGAGGAGGTGACAGGGCCCAGCATATTTTATCCAAACTCTTGTAGGTACAGGCTGCCTCCAATTCTTGAAGATTTTGAGAACTTTTAGAATGTAACCCTGATCTGGCCTCCCTCCAGGATTATATTTTAGGAAAGTTTAAATTAAACACATTTAGGCCCTGCCAAAGAGGCAAGTTGCTAGGAGCTAGAGAACCTTCTGTAGTCTTAGCCCTTGTCCCTGGGCTTCCACCGTCAAGCAAAGGAAATAAAAAATGGTCCATCTGTCTGGCTTGGAGAAAGAGAACTGAGCCAAGTGTGAAGGAGGAACTTTGGGGCTATAAACAGGGTAAGCAATGCCCTAGGAATGCGGACAGAGTTCAGCAGACCGTCAGCTCAGCTGGAGTTCTCTGTTCTTTGTGGTTCCCAGCTCAGAGGCAGCTCTCTTCCCCTAGATAAAGGGCCTTAACTCTCCATGGGATGCACCTGGGCAGAGCTCTTGATTCATTTATAAAGGAGAAGCATTTCATTTTCATTTTTATTTTTTTGAAATGGAGTTTCACTCTTGTTGCCCATGCTGGAATGCAATGGCACGATCTTGGCTCAGCACAACTTCCGTCTCCCAGGTTCAAGTGATTCTCCTGCCCCAGCCTCTGAAGTAGTTGGGATTACAGGCATGAGACACCATGCCCGGTTAATTTTGTATTTTTAGTAGAGACGGAGTTTCTCCATGTTGGTCAGGCTGGTCTCCAACTCCCAACCTCGGGTGATTCGCCCACCTCGGCCTCCCAAAGTGCTGGGATTATAGGTGTGAGCCACTGCGCCCGGCCCGACAAGCATTTCTTAACATGCTAAACCCCAGTTCTTTCTGAAAGGACTTTCTGATAGGCAATGTAGGAAACAAAAGCTTTTCCTTAACCCTCTTAGGGTCCCTGGCTGGGTCTAAAAATTAGACAAAGACAGATTAACAGGAGAAAAAGCATCCAAGTTTATTTCATAAGTCTTATATGACGTAGGAGACTTCATAAGGAAAGGAAGACCCAAAGAAATGGTCAAACTTGTGTATTTTTATGCTAGGTTTAATGCACAGTGGACAGTCATGGGGGAAGTATGATTGAACAAAGGAGATCTAATGGTTATAAACTGGGGGAAATTTGGCAAAGCCTGTTTGTACAGATTCTTGTGTCATTGTGTCTTCAGAAATAAGGACGTTCCTTTCCTCCACCTCTCACATGAGGGTCTTGTGATCCGCTTCAGGAGAAGGTCAGAAAATCCTTCCTAGGTTTCATGACCTGTTTCAGGGGAGAAGGGCGGGAGGTTAGAGAGACCTTCCTGCTTCTGTGATTTTCTCAAATTCTTTCAGCTTAAAATACTCAGTATGTCAAGGTGCCATATTTTGGAGTACCACGTTCTGAACCACATCAGCAACCAAAGACTAAAAATGTTACAAATTCAAGGAAAATTCGTTTAAAAAATTGAGTTATAAGCAACCGAAAGGCAGGGATGGCTTCTTTAAAAATAGTAATAACTAAAATGTATTGATCATTTATCGTGTGTCAGATACCATTTTTTCTGAGGGTTTACCCCATGTTATTTGTTTAATCCTTGTGACAGCCCTGTCAGGTAGATGCTATTACTATTATAATACTCCTTTTACAGATGAGGAAACTAACAGAGAGAGAGGTTAAATAATTTGCCCACAGTCATAGCACTAATAATTGGCAACACTGAGATTTGAACTCAGGCCCAGATACTCTTCCTGTGTCCTGCTGCCTTTGACTACAACTCCTTCTTTCCCACTATATTCACTCATGTGCCATAAGCAGATGCTCAATAAATATTTGTTGGATAGTTAAATGATTGCAATAAATGGAACCATTTAAATAAACAAAAGGTTATGGATGAAAATGAGCATAAACACAGTCTGTAAGAGTAAACTGCTATTGCTATTTATGGATTTTCATCTGGACAGGGACACAAATAGTACTTCGTCTAAGGAGAAGTTAGAATAAGGTGAAGGGTAGACAATCCCTTCATGTCTCCATCCAGAAGGGTGAGTAGCCCAAAACTTTATTAAAAAATTGTTATTCTTTATAGATCATTCTGTACTAAACGAAATGTGGGATCAGGGAACAGGAAAAGGACATTAGCGGGAAATCCACATAAACCCCGAACTTTAGTTCCTAGTAATATACCGTGTTGGTTTCTTAGTTTTGACAAACGGGCATGGTTATGTAGTATGCTAACATTAGGGGAAACTATGCCGGGGGCGGTGGCTCAAACCTGTAATCCCAGCACTTTGGGAGGCCGAGGCGGGCGGATCACAAGGTCAGGAGATCGAGACCACGGTGAAATCCCGTCTCTACTAAAAATACAAAAAATTAGCTGGGCACAGTGGCGGGCGCCTGTATTCCCAGGTACTCGGGAAGCTGAGGCAGGAGAATGGCATGAACCCGGAAGGCGGAGGTTGCAGTGAGCCGAGATCCCGCCACTGCACTCCAGCCTGGGCGACAGAACGAGACTCCGTCTCAAAAAAAAAAAAAAAAAAACGTTAGGGAAAACTGAGTGAAGAGACATGGGAACTCTCTGTACTGCCTTAGCTAATTTTCTGTAAATCTAAAATTATTCCAAAATTAAAAGTTTGTTTTAAAAAACCATAACACCATAACATGGCATCAGAATAAGCTGACAAGACACAGGTCTGCTTGTAGGCATATAAGTCTGTATCTTGAAAACCCAGCCCACCCAGAGCAAGGGTCACAAATTCAGACTCTTACAAGGGCCAAGCAAGTAACACAATTGAGTAGTACAAGCCGGGTGGGGGCTGGATGTCACAGCTTCCTTCTAAAGGGACAGCCATTGCCCAGCTGTAACCAACGATTGCCATGCAAGAATTTGAGCCCAGTGTTGCCAGATCTCCTCATTTTTCAAAAGAAGCCAGAAACCTGGACACTTTTTCTAGAAATATTATTATTTAAAGATGACTCCAATAACAAAAATTGCTCCGTGGCCTAAGCAAAAGTTGTCTGCAGGTCAGTTACTATCCATGGTCACCACTTTGTAACCTCTGGGCCAGAGGGCTTTAAAAACACTCCTGGAAATACAAAACCCTTGAAATGTTCTCTCATTAGGAGCATATTAATGTTGCCTAGCGAAATGACTTCTGTAGGGGTGGGTGTTGGAGTGGGAGTCGATCTGAGCTCAGCTCAAGAGAACCACACAGCCAAGGCCCATGATTCCATCTGTCTGCTCATCAGCCTTTCCTGACAGTCAAGGCTCTGGTTCACACAATCACATGGCCAGGTGGAGTCCCTCCGTCCTGGTGGCTCCTGCACCCCTCTTCTTGGCTTTAGATCCTTTGGGGGCACAAAGGTGAGGTTGTTTATTTCATTGATAACATTGCATCTGAATGGCCCTTGCAGACATAGGATTCATAGTAAGCTCTTGTTCTCGTACAGAGTTAAACCTTCCTTAAGAAACTCCCCCATGAACTGCGAATGCCACCCTGTTTTTCTACACCTTTAATTCCATGGGATCTGAGGGGAAGTTCCTCCTAGTCTGGCCCCTTTAGAAGAAGTGACCTAAGCTAAAAAAAAAATCATTACAATTACGCTCCTCTTTCCCAATGTGGGTAAGACAGTAGCTTTGTTCGTACCCCGAATATGAGTCATCTCTGCTAATGTAGTTAGTTTTAAATTAAGAAGCAGCTCAACAGTAAAGGGCAGTTATTTCCAAACCTGTATACTTCTCAGGATCCATGAGGAGTTCCTTAAAAAGTCCACATCCAGCCAGGTGCAGTGGTTTGCACCTGTAATCCCAACACTTCGGGAGACTGAGGCAGGAGTAGTATATCACTTGAGGCTAGGAGTTTGAGACCAGCCTGGGCAACAACATAAGATCCCCTCTCTATAAAATAAAATAAAATAAAATAAAATAAAATAAAATAAATAAAATAAAATAAAATAAAATAAAATAAAATAAAATAAAATAAAATAAAATAATTATCCAGGCACAGTTGTGCACACCTATAGTCCCAGCTTCTCTGGAGTCCGAAGCAGGAGGATTGCTTGAGCCCAGGAGTTCAAGGCTGCAGTGAGCTAGAATCGTGCTACTGTACTCCAGCATGGGTGACAGAGGGAGATCCTGTCTCTTAAAAAAAATTAACTTCCTGGGACCCAACCTCCAGAGGTGTGGATTCAGGGAGTTGATACTGAGGCCCAGGAAACTATATGTATATATTTTAAGAGCTCTGTAAGGAATTTTAATAGTCAGCCACGTTTGGGAACCACCAGTATGCAACATTTGGGTCCCAGCTGTGCACTTTACACGTGGGTGGCACAAGGAATGTTTGTCTTTTTTGTGTAGTCTATATACAACAGTGAACCTCCACGCCGCACTTTTTATGAGGAGGATCAGTTTTTCATTTCCTGCAGCCCTCACTATCACCAGGGTTAAGGGGCAACATGAGGGCTGACAGCGAAGTCCAGAAAGGAGTCTGCAGGTCGGAACTGCAGGTCAGATGCCCCCACATCCAGCCCGAGGTTTACTACTTAGTGTCTGTATGACCCTGGGCAACTCATTTTCTCTCCCTTCTCATGGTAACACTGGAAATACTGATGTTGAAAGTCCGGAGTAAAGAAAGAGATAGATGAAACTGCTAACCACATGATAGGAAATTTAACAAACCTGGTAGGGGTGGAGTGTCCCAGGGTGGCAGTCACTTGCATGGAAATCTATCCATCAGGCAAAACTTTAAGAGCTACAGACATATGACAATCTATACAGGGGAATTTATGCATTCATTCATTCAATTCATGTTTTCTGAGCATTCCCCATGCGTCAAGTGTAGGAACACAACAGTAAACAAGACCACAATGGCCCTGAAGCGTTAAATGTTGTAGTGAAGGAGACCATCTGGGAAACAACTATCAATATGGTAAGAGCTGCAACAAAGTCATGGCATGGAAGAGCAGGAAATGTTGCTTGTTCCCCATGTGGCCCTCTTGACTGTTATTTGGTTGTCATTTACAGATTGGCAAAATCAACACTGGTCCTCATTCCTTTATTGGGCGTTCATGAGATCCTCTTCTCTTTCATCACTGATGATCAAGTTGAAGGATTTGCAAAACTTATACGACTTTTCATTCAGTTGACACTGAGCTCCTTTCATGTAAGTAGAAATCTGAACCAAAATGCCTTGACTTTGGAGAAAACAAAATGCATGTGGCCGAAACAGGCTCAGAATTAAGGAGCCCGTGGATGAAAATAGAATTGTAGCATCAGCAGCCTTTATCAGTAAGGGCCCTTGGCATTAGAAGGGCATGCAGACGGGGAAGTATTGCGTTGATCCTGCCAGCATGATTCAGTGACTAAGAAGGGGGAAATGGTCTCTTTCCTGGGTGGTAATAGTTGGTGTGACTCATGATCATATTAACTATGAGTGTCAATGTGAAGCCTTTTATTAAGTGCCTATTTTTGCTGGGTTCTCTGCAGAGCATTGTGCAAAGTAAACATTGTCTGTGCTTCAGGTGACATGTACACAGAATGCAACACAAATTGGATAGGGACTAATGAGTTCAGACCAGGAGGCTATTGAACCTTGACAGATGTGTGGGAGTTGAAACTAGGAACAAGAGGCTAGCTGTGGTTGTTACCTGGAAATATTTTGGTCATCTATTGCTTAAATTATTATCTATTTCTTAGTGTCTTAAGATGGCAATTTTTAAAATTATTTTTCATGATTCTGGGAGTTAGGAATCTAGGTAGGACCTAGTAGGGATGGCTAACCTTTGCTTCTGTGATGCCTCCTGGGGCTGGAACTACCAAGATGTCTTCTTCACTCACATGACTGGTGCCTAAGTTGGATGGCTCAAATAGCTGAGGCTAGTCTTATTTGGGTCAAATTTCTGAGGCCTCATTTCTCAGTGTCCATGACATTCCTTAGGCGTTCCATGTGTTTTCTCCTTGTGGTCTCTCCACAGGATAGGGCAGTTCAGGGCTCCCAAGAGTATAAAAGCAGGAGCTGTCAGGCCTTTTTTTTTTTTTTTTTTTTGAGACGGAGTCTCGCTCTGTCGCCCAGGCTGGAGTGCAGTGGCGGGATCTCGGCTCACTGCAAGCTCCGCCTCCCGGGTTCACGCCATTCTCCTGCCTCAGCCTCCCAAGTAGCTGGGACTACAGGCGCCCGCCACTACGCCCGGCTAATTTTTTGTATTTTTAGTAGAGACGGGGTTTCACCGTTTTAGCCGGGATGGTCTCGATCTCCTGACCTCGTGATCCGCCCGCCTCGGCCTCCCAAAGTGCTGGGATTACAGGCGTGAGCCACCGCTCCCCTGCCAGGCCTTTTAAATGCCTATGCCTGGAACTGGCACAGTGATGCTTCTGCTGCATTCTGTCATTTAAAGCAAGTCACAGACCCAGCCTAGATTGAAAGAGTAGGGCACTGCACAAAGGCATGAATGCTGGGAGGGGCAGCTCATTAGTGAAGGCCACTAATGCAACAGATTACCACTAACAGCACAGCAGCGCAGGTCTTCATAGAGTAGTTATCTGAAAATGAATCATCTTTAAATGTTGGTGTGGGGGCAGGACTTCTGAGATGATAAAGAGAGGATCTACAAAAGCTCTCCCCAAAAGGCAATGATAAAATTGGACAATTGTCAATAGCAACCATTTTGGGACCATACACATTAACTAAAAAAAAAAAAAAAAAGAAATGAGAAGGATTCAGTCAAGAAAAATTACTGAAATTCAGTAATAACAGTGGGAGTCTATGTTACTTTTGTCTGGGACTGCTTTTGTTCTCTAATCCCTGCTCCACCAGTGAGGAAATTCTAGTGAAAACTAGCAGCTTCACTGAAGAGGGAGGCTGACTTGATTTGGATCAAAGAGCAGAAAAACTCTCATCCTTGGGCATTGCCAGATACAGTGGCCGTCTTGGTGACAAAGAAACAGGGAAGGACAGTGTTACAGCCTGAAGTTATCATTCTATCTGGGGTGAAAAAACATGCTGATGGGCTAGCCAGAAATTTTACGGGAAGATTTGGGGAATGAGACAGCCACAGTGGGCCTTGACAAGCCCCCACATATTTCTCAGGTTGACTGGAAGGTTGTGTACATGCATAAGGTTGCATACACACTCAAGAAGGACCAGAAAGGACATTCACACATTTCTGGCTGAATGTGAGTTTCTGCACACATACAGAGGAAACATGAGGGGGTCTGGTGGAAAGTAAAAGCCAGGGAAGGCTTCAAACTGAACTTTGAATGTGTTCCCCAAGTGACATATGGATCCATTGGCAAAGGGTATGGAAGTCTTATGGGCTTGAGGTGTTTGAAAACAACTTCTGATCAATCATTGGCTGATTATTAAGCTATTGGAAACAGCATCAGATGACCAGATTTAAAAATAAAAACCAAAATTTTTTAAATGAGCAGAGACATCACTGGCCATATACCACAGCAGAGACAGATTCCACATAACTAGTAGTCCAGACAATTTTCTAAACAAACCACCACCACCACTCCAGGGATGGGGACTGGGGAATCAGAATCCTGAGTTGTTATAATATATTATCTAAAACTTCCAGTTTTTTCCAAAAATATGAGATCTGCAAAGAAACAAAAAAGTGTGACCCATACTCAGGACAAAAAAAAAAAAAAAGCAGTCATTAGAAACTTTCTGGGTGGGATAGGGGATGTCTAGATGTTGGACTTATCAGACAAAGACTTCAAAGCTATTATAAACATGTTCAGAGATTTAAAGAAAAAGTTGTTGAAATAATTAAAGGAATTCAATTATCTCAATTCAATAGAGAACAATTATAAAATAAGAACCAAATGGAAATTCTGGAGTTGAACACTACAATAACTGATATGAAAATTTTATTAGGAAAGCTTAGATTTAAGATTGCAGAATAAATAACCTGTGAGCTTGAAGATAGGTCAATGAGATTACCCAGTCTGTGGAAAAGAAAGAAAAAAGAATGAAGAAAAATAATAGAGCTTCAGAGACCTGTGGAATGCCATCAAGCATACTAACATACACATAGGAGAGTCCCAGAAGGAGAGTAAAGATAGAAATGGTAGAATAAATATTTGGATAAATAATGGTTGAAAATTTTCCAAATTTGAAGAAAAATGTTAATCTACACATCCAGGAAGCTTGATGAACTCCAAAAAGCATAAAACAAAGAAATTCATGCCTGGAAACATTACAGTCAAACAGTTGAAAGCCAAAAATGAAGAGAAAATATTGAAAGCAACAAGAGAAAAATTGTTCATTACATGTAGGGACCAATGATACAATTAACAGCTGACTACTCATCAGAACAATGGAGGCCAGGAGGCAGTGGTATAAAATATTCAGAATGCTGAAAGAAAACAATTGTCAATCAAGAATTCTAAATCCAGCAAAAGTATGTTTCAAGATAAAGGTGAAATAAAGACATTATCATAAAAACAAAGACTGAGAGAAATCATTATTGGCAAACACCCCTTTCAAGAAATATCAAAGGATGTCCTTCATGCTGGAAGAAAACGACAACAGACAGCAACTCAAATCCACATGAAGAAATAAAAAACAGTGGAAAAGGTAGATACACAGGTAAATCTGAAAGGCTATGTGTAGGTTTTTTTTCTCATAACTGATTTTAAAAATACAAGATTGTATAAAATAATAACTATACATTGTATTTTTGGGCTTATAACATATAAAGATCTAATATATATGACAAGAATATCACAGGAGAAGAATGAGTAAATAGAGATATATAGGAGAACATTTTTATATTTTACCAGGCTTAAGTTAGTGTTAATATGAAATAGATTGTGTTAAGATGCATGTTGTAATCCCTGGAATAAACACTAAGAAAATAACTTTAAAAAATGTATTTAAAATACTAGCAAAGGAATTAAAATGGTACACTGGAAAGTATCTGTTTAACATGGAATAATTTCAGCCTCATGGGATTCACAAAATATCCCTATGAAGGATAAATTATTATACCTATTTTAAAGATGAAAGAACTGAGGCTCAGAGGACTTTCACATGCTAACATGTATCAGAGATGAGGTTTTTATTCAGAGGTTAAGCCCCTGCCTGTAACCACTATGCCATAGTGCCTCTCAGGTGCCTTGTGAAGATTAGAACCAGGAGACACCAAGTTCCCTATACCAGTCTTAAAGGTCAAGTGCTGTCTGATATATTGGAGCAATATACCAGACAGGGTCAAGTGCTGAGATTTCGTACACAGAGCAGAGAAAATGTGTCCGCCCACTGCATGCTCACCAAAGGCCGAGGAGCCAGAGCCTGAAGTGTGGTATGAGCAGTTGGACAATATTTTTTTCCCTCCTGTTGGAGTTGAATTCTTTGTGGCTTTGAACCAAGACAGAGGATCCATAAGCAATTTTTTTCCCATTATGAAAACATGTTTATTTCAGTCTTTTAGGGAATTTCAAAAGATAAGGTTTAGTAATTTGGAATTTTTGTGTTCCTGGCCGTAATCTTCTTTAAAAGGTAGTCCTAAATTAGAGGGGGAAAAAAAACTCTGCAGCTGTTATGTAGTAATATTTGGTGGCCTTTTTTCTCCGGAAGGCATGGGTCAGGCAATGTGAGCCCTTGATCACCTGATCTCACTCACCCAAGGCCCGGTAAAGACAAGTAATTCATGTGGAGCTATGTGAGGCAGATTTCTGAGAAAGAATCC